>NC_000023.11:82462542-82765572 GCF_000001405.40 Homo sapiens
TTGGGTGTTTTTTAGTGAGGGATTTTTGCAACAATAGCTGACTAATAACAGCACTCTATATATGTCAGCAAATATTACCTTTAATACAATCTGAAATAGCAATTCTGATTCACTAAACAGTCTTTCATCTAAGCCAGAACCAGAGTAGATTCTGTAGGTGGAGATAGTAACATGAGTTAGACACGGTTCCTGCCCTCCTTTATGCTATTCATTATGGAAAATACAAAAAGGACACAGATGCAAATATCATGCCATGCCACAAGTACAAAGCAAATGTTTTGGCATTCAGAAGGAGACATCAGTTGCAGGAAAATGAATCTGGACAAAGTTTGTGGAAGTGTGGGCATTTGTGCTGAGCTTTGAAAAGGAAGTAAGGATTTTAATAGAACAGCTATTATATGGCTTTTATTGCCTAAATATTCTCTGATTGATTTAATGTTTCTAAATCCCAAAGCAAGGTATGTGAGTTTTTTTGAAAAAATTAGTTATAATATTCGAAGACCCAAACAACATTAGTTCATTGATTTAATAGTTCTCTGTTCCTTACAGAGTACCTTGTAGGTGTGTATGTGCATCCTCATTCCTATTTATACAAGGAGGAGGAGCCTAAAAGCATAAGAAATGTTTTGACCTGTTCGTAGAACATTTTTGCTACTGAGAGTTTAACTATTGTGTTAAAATCTGAGAGAGAGAGAGAGAGAGAGATTACATGAAGTTTTGGTGTTTGGTTTTATGAGATTTAGGACAGTTCAATATGTTTTAAAAAGTAGCTAGAAATTAAAGCCATTCCTTTCCATTCATTTATGCATCTGTGTTTTATTTGCTTTCTCTCAATGGTTCTATAGTGAGATTCTCCTTTTTCAAATGTACCACCCATATGGCCTTGATTTAACTAGTCTATGAGTTACTAACTATAGAATCTATGCCTTGCCTCCTTGATATGTCTGAGGCCTGTTGCGACAAGTTCTGGCCTTCTACTCTTGTATTTGGGGAGGTGTTAAACTTCTTGGGGAATGTCACTTCATTTATTTCTGTGTGAGTGCAGTTGTGTGTTCAGTACGTGTTTATGCTGTAGGGGTGGGGAAAAGTAGAAGAAACAGAAAGGTTTGTGTTCTGCTCATCTGAAACCCTTTATGTGGCTTTTATTGTCCAAATATTCTGTGGGAAATATAGCCCCCATAGGGTTTTTTTGATAATCTTTGTAGGACATTAAATCATCTTTTACATCATCTTAATTATCATCTTAGTCATTACTACTATAACTAACATTTATAGAGCTATCAATTATGTGTCAAGTACTTCACATGGAAAATTTTTTAATATTTAAAATACTTAAATGAGGGAAATATTATTTATTTCCTCACTTTACAGAGGAAGAAATATATGAAATGGAATGATTAGACAATTTGTACTAGGCCACACAGCTAGTAAGTCACAGAAGTAGAATTCACACTCAGATGTGTCTGACAGGAGAGACTGTACTAGTACTCCTTCTTCCATACATTTCAGTTAGTTATTCAGAGAACAATTAGAGTTTCTTATCCACGTCAGTACTCTCTGCTGCTGGAAAGTCAATAAAGTGTTTTGTACATGGCAGCTATAACAGTTAAATAAATATTTAGCGGTTAAATAAATATTGAATAAATGGCAGACTGAAAACTGAAAGAGTCTGGCGTTTTAATGGAGAGGTTCTACTCACCAACCTTGCCAGTTCTTTGGAAGACCAATGTCAGGTAACACAGCTACTATTCTCAAGTAAGTCTCGGGCAATTCTGGAAATTATATTAATGTACTGAGTATGCAACTTCCAAAATGCTTTATATTTGACAATGGGAATAACTTCCACTTTGGGAGAAAAACATCAATCATCAAGTATGTTTATGTTCATTTTGATTTCTAAATCATATATTCTATACTCTTCAAAATCAACTCAAGGAACAGAAGTTTCTCTTGGTATTTCCTAAATAAGCTGCAAAGGCACCATACGAAAAAGTCTAGTGTCCAAAATTTATGACTTTTATGTTGTCCTTTACTGTGGATTTGTTGTGCCAGTATATTACTTTATGGAAGAATGTCTTAGTGGTTAAGAATTTGACACAGTGAATCTGATAGATTTAAGCTCAAGTCATAGCTAGCTGTATAAGCCTGGAAAAGTTATTTAATGTCTTTGAAACTTAATATCTTCATCTCTAAAATAAGGATCTGTAAACATATTGAAGACCACTATTTGCTAGGTACTGTGCTAGAATCTGGTGATAGATCAAGATCACAAATATGAATTTATAATTAAAATTGTAGCTACCAAGAACTCAGGTATACGATGCTATAAAAACATTTAATATAGGCAATTGATCTAGACATGGAGATGAAGGAAAGATCTCCTTAAGAATGTGATGTAGAGAAAGAGTAAGAGATAGGTAATGTAAAAAGAGGATGCTAAGATAGTTGTGAGTATTAAATAAAATCATATATGGAATGCACAAAACCTGACACATAGTAAGTAGTTAATACATGTTGCTTTTTATGTACATTATTAGTATTTTTGTTTTCTTTGGCATATATTTTGGTTATGTATTGCTGCAGAAAGAAATACCTAAAACAGGGTTTAAAATAACCATTTTATTATATCATCTGATTGTATAGCTCAGGTTTTGAGAAAAAACTTGCTCAGGCAATTGGTCTCTTATTTGATGTGACATTTACTGTGACATCTTGGGCTAAAGGATCTACTCCCAGGATGGCTTTTGTGACTCATCCACGTCAGGTGACTTGGTTTTCCTTGGCATCTTAATTTCTTCACATGGAAACTCATCCACCAGTTCTTTTCCATATGGCTTGATTTTCTCATGACATGGTGGTCTCAGAGTAGTCACATTTTTAAATGAAAGTTCACATCTCCAATAGTGCATGTACCAAGACAGGAAGTAAAAAGACCCATTATCTTAATACCTGGGTCTGAAAGAGTATTGCATCATTTCTACCATATTCTATGGGTCAAGCAGGGTTTGCATAGATTTAAGAAGAGGAAACATAGAGCTCATCTCTCAATGAATATCAGTTTAAAAATTGGTGGTCATTCTTAATCTACAACAAAATGAAAAATTATACATTTATTATATGCTCATAAAATTTATGACAATGTCTACAATGATTATAAAAAACTTTGCAATTAATCTTGGTGTTCTAGAAAAATGTAGCCATTTGAGTGTCGAGAGATGTGGCTTCTGGCCCCTACTTCTCCTTAAATGCCAATGTGGCTTTGAGCAATCAGATTAACTTCTCAATGCTTAGTTCTCTATTCATAAATCAGCCTTTGTTGGGTAACACCTAGGGGTAAGGCACTACAGCAAAAATTAGGATGCCTCACTACAAGGGACTGATAATTTTGTTTGAATTGGACCAAATTATTTGTAAACTATAGAATTGCTTCCTGCTGTAAAGATTTGTGATTTGTAGAGATTTGTTAACTTTGGCAGAAGACTAATATTGGTGCCAAATATGAAATTTAACACAATTCAAGTAAGATCTTCTTAGTTTTCATGAACAGAGAAGTTGACATCTTTAGGAGAAGGATAAAACCTCTTCAAATAGTTCCCACTTACAGAGAGTTTTCCTGTGTGATAATGAGGTTATTTAGGGTGAATATGTATGTCTAAAATTTTCTATTATCTAACATGTTGGCCTAAGTATTTTTCAAATTGTTCTCTTAAAAAGATTTACTTAACGTGGTTTTATTGTCTACCTGTGTATTAGTCTGTTCTCACACTGCTAATAAAGACACACCCAAGACTGAGTAATTTATAAAGGAAAGAGGTTTAAATGACTCACTGTTCCACATGGCTGTGGAGGCCTCACAACCACGGCAGAAGGCAAATGAGGAGCAAAGTCACATCTTACATGGCAGCAGGCAAGAGAGCTTGTACAGGGGAACTCCTATTTATGGAACCATCAGATCTCATGAGACTTATTTCCTATTATGAGAACAGTCCTGGAGAAACTGCCCCGATGATTTAATTATCGCCACCAGGCTCTGCCCTTGACAAGTGGGAATTATTATTACAATTCAAAATGAGATTTGGTTGGGGACACAGTGAAACCATATCAACATAAAACTATCTTTCATTGATGCATAAGTTAATTATTGTGTAATTATATATTATAATTATTGTGATTTTAACTGTCATCTCTATGCTGATGCTTCACAAACCTATATTTCTTTAGCCTTAGGTTCTGCCTAGGGTTTCAAATTGTTTTACTCATAAATATGTGAGTGTGCCAGAGGCATCTCAAATCCAATAAATCTTAAAAGGAAACACTCATCTGGCCTTCCTCAAACCTGATTTTTTAATCTTTATTTCAAATTTAAGTAAATGGCATCACCATCTACCAATATTCATGAGTTCCACATCCTGTAAGACATAAAAAAACTCTAGAAAGTTTTCATGCTAATTGTTCTCAAATTATTTCCCTTCTGTCACTCTACATTACCACTGCCCTATCTGGTCAGCTACCACTCTAAACTTTTGCAAAACACTCCTAACTAAACTAGCTTTCTTTGTCTTCAGTATTGTCATCTTTACATCCATCTTCTAAGAATACAGGCAGAGTAATTCTCTAAAATCAAATGGGATTGTTGCATTCTGCTGCTTAAATTTGTTAATGACGTAATTGTATTTAAATTCTATATACGTTATGTTCTCTTTCATCTCTAGAAATATGTGCTTAATGTTCCCTTTGTCTATGATGTTTCACTCTCACACACAACATTTCAGACTGTCACCATTCAGCTTATACCTCTACTATGAGGCCTTGGGCAAGCTATTTATATTTTAATTTTATTGTTTAAAATTATTTTATTAACAAATAATTATATATATTTATGAGGTATAATATTTTGATATATGTTTACAATATGGAATGAATAAAACAGGCTAATTAACAAATTTATCCCCTCATACACTTATCTTTTTGTTGTAAAAACATTTAAAAACTAGTCTTTCAGGATTTTGAAATATACAATGCATTATTACTTATTATAGTCACCATTCTGTGCAATATATCACTAAAGCTTATTTCTCCTAAGTGAAACTTTGTACCTCTTCATCAACATCTCCTGTCTCCCAAACACACCCTCATCTAGCCTCTGTAACCTTTATTTTGCCCTCTACTTCTATGTGTTCAATTTAAATCTAAAAAAGTTAGATATAAGTGAGATTGTGCACTATTTACCTTTCTGTGCCTGGCTTATTTCACTTAGCATAATGTTTTCCATATATATATATATATATACACACACACACGTTGTTGCAAATGACAGTATTACTCCTTTTTTTAAGGCTGAATAGTATTTTATTGTGTATATGTATCATATTTTCTTTAGCAATTCATCTGATGGTGAACACCTAGGTTTCTGGATTGCATGTTAATTCCATTTTTAATTTTCTAAGGAAACTTTATACTTCTTCCCATAATGGTTGTATTAATTTACATTTTCACAAACAGTACACAAGGAATCCCTTTTCTTCACCTCCTTGCCAACATTTGTTATCTCTTCTTACCTTTTTTATAAAGCCATTCTAATCAGCGTAAGGTGATACCTCATTGTAGTTTTAATTTGCATTTTCCTGATGATCAGTGATGATGAGCATTTTTTCATATATCTGCTGGCCATTTGTATGTACTCTTTTAAAAATGGGTTATTTGTCCAGATGTTGTTTGAGTTTTTTTAAAATTATCATTATACTTTAAGTTTTGGGATACATGTGCAGAACGTGCAGGTTTGTTACATATGTATACACGTGCCATGGTGGTTTGCTGCACCCATCAACTCGTCATCTAGTCATCTACATTAGGTATTTCTCCTAATGCTATCCCTCCCCTATTACCCCACCCACCGACAGGGCCCAGTTTGTGATGTTCCCCTCCCTCTGTCCTCATTGTTACTTTTTGTCCTGTTATTGAGATGGTTGATTTTCTTATATATTTTGTATATTAGCCCCTTATCAAATTTATAATTTGTAAATATTTTCTCCCAAACTTTGGGTTGTCTCTTCACTCTAATAATTGTTGTTGTTTTCTTTTTTTGATATGCAAGCACATTTTAGTTTAATGTAATCTCATTTTTAAAATTTTTGCTTTTGTTTTCTGTGGTTTTGGGATTATATTCAATAAATCATTGCCCAGACCAATGTCATGGAACATTTTTCCTGTGTTTTATTCTAGAATTTTTACAGCTTCCAGTCTTATGTTTAAGTCTTTAATTCATTTTGAGATTTTTGTATATGGTGTGAGATAAGGGTCCAATGTGATTCTTCTGCTTATGGACATCAAGGTTTCCCAACACCATTTATTGAAAAGACCATCTTTTGTCTATTATATTTGCCTGGCACCTTTGTCAAAAATCAATTGACCATAAATACATGGATTTATTTTTGGGCTCTCTATCCTGTTTCATTGGTCAATGAATCTGTTTTTATGCCAGTATCATGCTGTTTTGATTGCTATAGCCTTAATAGATTTTGAACTCAGTTAATGTGACATCTCCAGTTTTGTTATTTTCTCCTCAAAATTGCTTTGGCTGTTTGAAGTCTGTGTGGTTCCCTGCAAATATTAGAACTATTTTTTTTGTTTCTGTGAAGAATGACATTGAAATTTTGATAGGGATTACATTGAATCTGTAGATTGATTTGGATAGTATGGGCATTTTAACTCTATTTATGCTTCCAATCCATGAACATGAGATAGTTCATGTTTATTTGTGTCATCTATAGTTTCTTCAATTAATGCTTTATAATATTTAGTGTACAAATCTTTCACCTCCCTGAATAATTTACTTATATATTTTATTTTTTGATACTATTGTGAATATTATTGATTTTTAAATTTACTTTTTGAATAGTCTATTGCTAGTGTAAAGAAATACTACTAATTTTTGCATACTGATTTTGTACCCTGAAACATCACTGAATTTGTTAATTATTTCTAACAAGTTTTTTTGGTGGCATTTTTAGGCTTTTCTATATATATCATGTGATCAGCAGATGAGATATTTTAATTTTTCCTTTTCTATTTGGATGCCTTTTATTTCTTTTTCTTGTCTAACTTATCTGTCTATGACTTCCAGTGCTATGTTAAATAGAAGTGATGAGAGTGGACATCCTTGTCTTGTTCTTGATCTTAGAGTAAAAGCTTTCAACTTCTCACCATTGAGTATGATGTTAACTGTGGGCTTTTCAAATATTGCATTTATTGTGTTGAGGTACAATTTTACACCAAAGTTGCTAAGAGTTTTTATTCATAAAAGAATGTTGAATTTTGTCAAAAGCTTTTTTAGTATCGATTAAGCTATTTGGTTTCTGTCCTTTATTCTGTTAATATGGTGTATCACATTTACTGCTTTATGTATGTTAAAATATTCTTGTATCCCAGGGATAAATCTGAATTCATCATGGAGAATGATTCTCTTAATGTGCTGTTAACATCAGTTTTCTAGTATTTTGTTGAGAATTTTTGCATCTATGTTCATCAGAGATATTAGCCTGTAATTTTTTTTATTTTTATTTATTTTATTATTATTATGATACTTTAAGTTTTAGGGTACATGTGCACAACGTGCAGGTTAGTTACATATGTATACATGTGCCATGCTGGTGTGCTGCACCCATTAACTCATCATTTAGCATTAGGTATATCTCCTAATGCTATCCCTCCCCCCTTCCCCACCCCGTAACAGTCCCCAGAGTGTGATGTTCCCCTTCCTGTGTCCATGTGTTCTCATTGTTCAATTCCCACCTATGAATGAGAACATGTGGTGTTTGGTTTTTTGTCCTTGCGATAGTTTACTGAGAATGATGAATTCCAATTTCATCCATGTCCCTACAAAGGACATGAACTCATCATTTTTATGGCTGCATAGTATTCCATGGTGTGTATGTGCCACATTTTCTTAATCCAGTCTATCATTGCTGGACATTTGGGTTGGTTCCAAGTCTTTGCTATTGTGAATAGTGCCGCAATAAACATACATGTGCATGTATCTTTATAGCAGCATGATTTATAGCCCTTTGGGTATATACCCAGTAATGGGATGGCTGGGTCAAATGGCATTTCTAGTTCTAGATCCCTGAGGAATCGCCAAAATTGAAAAATGGGATCTAATTAGCCTGTAATTTTCTTTGCTTGTCATGACCTCGTCTATCCTTAGTGTCAGGGTAATGCTGGCCTTGCAAAATGAGTTTGGAAGTATTCTCTCTTCACTTTGATTTTTGGGGAGAGACTGAGAATGATTGCTATTAGTTATTTAAATGAGTGATAGAATTCTGCTATGAAGCCTATCCTGGGCTTTTCTTTAATGAGAGATGTTTTATTATTGATTCAATCTTTTTACTCATTTTGGTCTGTTCAGATTTTCTATTTCTTCTTGATACAGCATTGATACTTTGTGCATTTCTAGGAATTTATCCCTTTTTTCTACATTAAACTATTTTTTGGCATATTATTTTTCAAAGGAGTCTCTTATGATCCTTTTTATTTCTGTGGTATTACTTGTAATTTGTCCTATTAGTTTATGATTATATTTATTTGAGGCATATCTCTTTTTTGGTTTGGCTAAATGTTTGTAAATTTTATTTATATTTTCAAATAATCAACTTAGTTTTATTGATCTTTCTATTGCCTTTCTAGCATATATTTCATTTTTTTCTGCTCTGATGTTTATTATCACCTTCCTACTACTGATTTTAGACTTATGTTAATTTTTTTGTTCCTTGAGATGTAACATTTAGTTGTTTACCTGAGATCTGTGTTATTTTTTTCACGTTGGCATTTGTTGTTATAAACTTTCCTCTTATGATGGTTTATTTTTCTGTGCAGAAGCAAATCCCATTTGGCAATTTTTGCTTTCGTTGCAATTGCTTTTAGTGATTTCATCATGAAACTTTGCCTGTGCCTATGTCCTGAATGGTATTGCCTAGATTTTCTTCTAGGGTTTTTATTGTTTTGGGTTTCACGTTTAAGTCTTTAATCCATCTAGAGTTAAGTTTTGTATAAAGTGTAAAGAAGGGGCACAGTTTCAATTCTCCGCGTGTGGCTAGCCTGTTCTCCCAGCACCATTATTCAATAGGGAATTCTTTTCCCATTGCTTGTTTTTGTCAGGTGTCTCAAAGATCTGATGGATGTAGATGTGCGGTCTTATTTCTGAGTTCTCAATTCTGTTTTTTAGTTCTTTCATTACTCTTTTACAATGTTGTCATCTTTCTTTGTGCTTTGTCATATTTTTTGTAGCGGTGTACTTTAATTACTTTATCTTTTAAGTATCAATTGGAGGCTTTTTTCTTTGTGGTTACCAGGAATCTTATAGAAAACATTTTATAGTTTTAATGTCTTAATTCAACCTGATAATACCTTACTACAATCACATACAAAGGCTCTATAATTTTGCTTCCCCCCTCCACATATTATTCTTTTGATGTCATACTTTATATATATTTATATTGTTTATCTGTTAACCAGTTGTTTACAGCTATAACTGATTTAATACTTTGTCTTTGTTTTACTTTTTTTTATTATACTTTAAGTTCTGGGGTACATGTGCAGAACATAGAGGCTTGTTACATAGGTAAACATGTGCCATGGTGGTTTGCTGCACCCATCAACCCGTCATCTACTTTAGGTATTTCTCCTAATGCTATCCCTCCCCTACTCTCCCATGCCCTGACAGGCTCTGGAGTGTGATGTTCCCCTCCCTGTGTCCATGTGTTATCACTGTTCACCTTCTACTTATGAGTTAGAACATGCGATGTTTGGTTTTCTGTTCCTGTTAGTTTGCTGAGAATGATGGTTTCCAGCTTCATCTATGTTCCTCCAAAGAACATGAACTCATCATTTTTTATGGCTTCCTAGTATTCCATGGTGTATATGTGCCAGATTTTCTTTATCCACTCTCTCATTGATGGGCATTTGGGTTGGTTCCAAGTCTTTGCTATTGTGAACAGTGCTACAATAAACATACGTGTGCATGTGTTTTTATAGTAGAGTGACTTATAATTCCTTGGGGATATACCCAGTAATGGCATTGTTGAGCCAAATGGTATTTCTAGTTCTAGATCCTTGAGTAATCGCCACACTGTCTTCCACAGTGGTTGTACTAATTCACACTCTCACCAACAGTGTAAAGTGTTCATGTTTCTCCACATCCTCTCCAGTATCTGTTGTTTCCTGAATTTTAATGATCTCCATTCTAACTGGCATGAGGTGGTATCTCGTTGTGGTTTTCATTTGCATTTCTCTAATGACCAGTGATGATGAGCGTTTTTTCATATGGCTGTGGGCCACATAAATGTCTTCTTTTGAGAAGTGTCTGTTCATATACTTTGCCCACTTTTTGATGGGGTTGTTTGCTTTTTTCTTGTAAATTTGTTTAAGTTCTTTTTAGATTCTGGATATTAGCCTTTTGTCAGATGGACAGATTGCAAAAATTTTCTCCCATTCTGTAGGTTGCCTGCTCATTCTGATGATAGTTTATTTTCCTGAGCAGAAGCTCTTTAGTTTAATTAGACCCCATTTGTCTATTTTGGCTTTTGTTGCCATTGATTTTGGTGTTTAAGTCATGAAGTCTCTGCCCATGTTTATGTCCTGAATAGTATTGCCTAGGTTTTCCTCTAGGGTTTTTATGGTTTTAGGTCTTACATTTAAGTCTTCAATCCATCTTGAGTTAATTTTTGTATAAGATGTAAGGAAGGGATCTACTTTCAGCTTTCTGCATATGGCTATCAAGTTTTCCCAACACCATTTAAGAAATAGGGAATGTTTTCCCCATTGCTTGTTTTTGTCAGGTTTGTCAAAGATCAGACAACGTTAAATGTGTGATGTTATTTCTGAGGCCTCTCTTCTGTTCCATTAAGTTTTGGTACCAGTACCATGCTGTTTTGTTTACTATAGCCTTGTAGTACAATTTGAAGTCAGGTAGCATGATGTCTCCGACTTTATTCTTTTTGCTTAGGATTGTCTTGGCTATGCGGGCTGTTTTTTGATTACATATAAAATTTTAAGTAGTTTTTTCCAATTCCGTGAAGAAAGCCAGTGGTAGCTTGATGGGGAAAGCATTGAATCTATAAATTACTTTGGGCATTATGGCCATTTTCACGATATTGATTCTTCCTATCTATGAGCATGGAATGTTTTTCCATTTGTTTTCCATTTGTTTTTGTGTCCTTTCTTATTTCCTTGAGCAGCGGTTTGTACTTCTCCTTGAAGAGGCCCTTCACCTCCCTTGTAAGTTGTATTTCTAGGTATTTTATTCTCTTTGTAGCAATTGTGAATGGGAGTTCACTCATGATTTGGCTCTCTGTTTGTTTGTTATTTGTGTATAGGAAAGCTTGTGATTTTTGCACATTGATTATGTATCCTGAGACTTTACTGACGTTTTTTATCAGCTTAAGAAGATTTTGAGCTGAGATGATGGGGTTTTCTAAATGTACAATCATGTCATCTGCAAACAGAGACAATTTGACTTCCTCTTCTCATAATTGAATACTCTTTATTTCTTTCTCTTGACTGATTGCCCTGGCCAGAACTTCCAATACTATGTTGAATAGGAGTGGTGAGAGAGGGCATCATTGTCTTGTGCCAGTTTTCAAAGGGAATGCCTCCAGTTTTGCCCATTCAGTGTGATATTGGCTGTAGGTTAGTCATAAATAACTCGTATTATTTTGAGATACGTTCTATCAATAACTAATTTATAGAGAGTTTTTAGCATGAAGGGCGGTTGAATTTTGTTGAATGCCTTTTCTTCATCTATTGAGATAATCATGTGGTTTTTGTCTTTGGTTCTGTTTATGTGATGGATTACAATTATTGATTTGTGTTATGTTGAACCAACCTTGCATCCCAGGGATGAAGCCAACTTGATCATGGTGGATAAGATTTTGATGTGCTTCTGGATTAGTTTCCTGTATTTAATTGAGGATTTTCACATTGATGTTCATCAGGGATATTGGCCTTAAATTTCCTTTTTTGTTGTGTCTCTGCCAGGCCTTGTTATCAGGATGATGCTGGCCTCATAAAATGAGTTAGGGAGGATTCCCTCTTTTTCTATTGTTTGGAATAGTTTCAGAAGGAATGGTACCAGCTCCTCTGGTAGAATTCGGCTGTGAATCCATCTGGTCCTGGACTTTATTTCTTGGTAGGCTATTAATTACTGCCTCAGTTTCAGAACTTGCTATTGGTCTATTCAGGGATTCGACTTCTTCTTGGTTTAGTTTTGGAGGGTGTATGTGCCCAGGAATTTATCCATTTCTTTTAGATTTTCTAGTTCATTTGTGTAGAAGTATTTATAGTATTCTCTGATGGTAGTTTGTATTTCTGTGGGATTGGTGGTGATATCCCCTTTATCATTTTTTATTGGGTCTATTTTAATATTTGCTCTTTTCTTCTTTATTAGTATTGCTAGTGGTCTCTCTATTTTGTTGATTTTTTCAAAAAACCAGCTCCTGCATTCATTGATTTTTTGAAGTGTCTTTCATGTCTCTATCTCCTTTAGTTTGGCTCTGATCTTAGTTATTTCTTGTCTTCTGCTAGCTTTTCAATTTCTTTGTTCTAGTTTCTCTAGTTATTTTAATTGTGATGTTAGGGTGTCAGTTTTAGATCTCTCCTGCTTTCTCTTGTGGGAATCTAGTGCTATAAATTTCCCTCTACACATTGCTTTAAATGTGTCCCAGAGATTCTGGTACGTTGTGTATTTGTTCTCATTGGTTTCAAAGAACATCTTTATTTCTGCCTTCATTTCGCTATTTACCTAGTAGTCATTCAGGAGCAGGTTTTTCAGTTTCCATGTAGTTGTGTGGTTTTGAGTGAGTTTCTTAATCCTGAGTTCTAGTTTGATTGTGCTGTGTTCTCAGACAGTTTGTTTGGATTTCTGTTCTTTAACATTTGCTGAGGAGTGTTTTACTTTCAATTACGTGGTCAATTTTAAAATAAGCATGATGTGGTGCTGAGAAGAATGTATATTCTGTTGATTTGGGGTGTATAGTTCTGTAGATGTCTTTTAGGTCCACTTGGTCCAGAGCTGAGTTCAATTCCTGAATATCCTTGTTACTTTTCTGTCTTGTTGATCTCTCGACTGTTGACGGTAGAGTGTTAGAGTCTCCCACTATTATTGTGTGGAAGTCTAAGTCTCTTTGTAGGTCTCAAAAACTTGGTTTATAAATCTGGGTGCTCCTGTATCAGGTGCATATATATTTAAAATAGTTAGCTCTTCTTGTTTCATTGATCCCTTTACCATTTTTTAATACACCTCTCTGTCTCTTTTGATCTTTGTTGGATTAAAGTCTATTTTATCAGAGACTAGGATTGCAACCCCTGCTTCTTTTTAGCTTTTCATTTACTTGGTAAATATTCTTCCATCCCTTTATTTTGATCTTATGTGTGTTTTTGCATATGAGATGGGTCTCCTCATTTCAGCATATCGATTGTTCCTTACTTTTTATCCAGTTTGCCAGTCTGTGTCTTTTAATTGGGGCATTTAGCTCGTTTACACTTAAGGTTAATATTTTTATGTGTGAATTTGATACTGTCATTTTGATTTGAGCTGGTTATTTTGCCCATTAGTTCATGCGGTTTCTTCATAGCATCGATGGTCTTTACAATTTGGCATGTTTTGCAGTGGATGGTACTGGTTGTTCCTTTCCAAGTTTAGTGCTTACTTCAGGAGCTCTTGTAAGGCAGGCCTGGTGGTGACAAAATCTCTCAGCATTTGCTTGTCTGTAAAGAATTTTATTTCTCCTTCGCTTATGAAGCTTAGTTTGGTCGGATATGAAATGCTGGGTTGAAAATTCTTTTCTTTAAGAATGTTGAATATTGGCCCCCACTCTCTTCTGGCTTGTGGGGTTTCCACCGAGAGATCTGCTGTTAGTGTGATGGGCTTCCCTTTGTGGGTAACCTGACCTTTCTCTCTGGCTGCCCTTAACATTTTTTCCTTCATTTCAACCTTGGTGAATCTGACGATTATGTGTCTTGTGGTTGGTCTTCTTGAGGAGTATCTTAGGGGTATTCTCTGTATTTCCTGAATTTGAATGTTGGCCCACCTTGTTAGGTTGGGAAAGTTCTCCTGGATAATACCCTGAAGAGTGTTTTCCATCTGAAATGGAAATGACTCCCCACCCTGCTTTGGCTTGCCCTCCATGGGCTGCACCCACTGTTCAACCAGTCCCAATGAGATGAACCAGTTACCTCATTTGGAAATGCAGAAATCACCCGCCTTCTGCATTGATCTCGCTGAGAGCTGCAGACTGGAGCTCTTCCTATTCAGCCATCTTGCCAGCAATCTCTATTTTACTCTTATACTTGCATTATCTGGGATTTACTCACTGACATTACAGTATGAGTATTTTGGATTTGACTATGTTTACTTTTATCTGTCAGTTTTATACTTGTATATGTTTTCACATTGTTACTTACTATCTTTTGTTTCAACTCAAAGAATCCCCTTTAGTATTTCTTGTGAGGCTGGTCTTGTGTTTTTAAACTCCTTCAGCTTTCGTTTGCCTTGGAATGTGTTCATCTCTTCTTTATTACTGAAAAAGAGCTTTGCAGGGTATAATATTCTTGGTTGACATTGTTTTTCATAATCACTTTGAATATGTCATCTCACTCACTTTCTCCTGGCCTACAAGTTTGCTGTTGATAAGTCCTTTGACAGCTTTATGGGATATTGTAATATTTAACACTTTCTTTTTTCTTGTTTCATTCAAAATTTTATCTTTATCTTTGTCTTTTGACATTTTCATTATAATATGTCTCAAAGTATTCTTTTTTTGAAGTAATTTTTCTTAAGGTCCTCTGGGCTTACTGCATCTGTATGTTCATATCCCTGCCAAGATTTGGGAAGTTTATAGATAATATTTCTTTAAATAAGCTTTTTGCCTCTTTGCATCTTTTATTTCCTTTGGATACTGTCATAATTCATGTATTTGTGTGTTTCCTGGTTACCCAATTTGCTATGCTTTCTTAACTTTCATAAATCATATATTTTTTGTTTTCTTAATTGGCTAATTTCCAATAACCTGTTTTTGACTTTGTTAATTTTTTTCTTCTGCATGATCAAGTTTGCTGTTGAAACTATCTACTGAATTTTTCAGTTGTCCCATTGTATTCTTCAACTTCAGGATTTCTGGTTCTTTTGTATGATTTCCATTATCTTTATTATCTCTTTCTGTTCATATATTGCTTTCCCAATTTCATTTAGTTGTGTGTCTGTTTTACATCTTATTGAGCTTTAAGATGATTCTTTTGAATTATGGCTCAGAGAATTTGCATATATCTATTTTTTTGGTTAATGATTTGAACTTTACAAGTATTTTGGTGGTATCATGTTTTCTTAATTATTTGTTATCCATATAGCTTTTTGTCAACATCTTATTATTTCAAAAAAACCCATCTTTTATTGCTACACACTGGTTTCAACAAGTTAAAGTCTCTTTCTATTACGTATCCATATAGGCTAAAATTGAGACACAGTCTTGTTTCAAGTCCACAGCCAAGACTAAGATCCTCAGGCTTATTTTAAAAGACACAACTAAGCATGTCTTCTATTGGATTCCTTGGTAAACATGATCCTAATTTCAAATGGAGTTTGAGAAGGGCTGTTGTCAGTTAATAAGGCCATGTCAAGATCCACAATGTGACCAATGTCAGGGCATCAGCCTGCAGGGGCACGGATCAACCTGCCTCCCTCCAGATCCTCAGGCTGGCAGAACCACTGTAAGTCCACACCCAAGGGTGAACAGGACTGAGATCGGGATGTTTGAGGATTCAGAGTTTGGCAAGCCTGCCACATGGACTCAGATGGCCATAACTCCTGGTGGGACCCCAGCTGGACAGAACTACTCCAAGACTACAGATGGAATACACTCAAACTTAGTATAATAGCTAATGTAGAACCTACTGTGGGACCTATATTGGCAAGCCCAACCTAGCTGTACTAGCTAGTGAGACTCTCAGCAGTACCCTATGTGTGCAGGATTGCTTGCATACCACAGCTGATAGAGGCTGGAACTAAATTTCAGGGCCCCTTCGGAAACTGCCATGGGGAAGAGGCCAGCAAGCTTGTCCAGGTGCATCTTCCATGAGTTCCTTGCCCAGGCGGGATAATTCTGGAGCTGTTTCAGAGAGCGGCTGGGAACAAGAGAAAGCCCTTTTATTATCTGCTGTGGGATGTAGACCAGCAAGCCTGTCCACTTGGCACAAATGACTGCATCTCCCAGTAGTTTTTTTGTGCCATCAGGATTGACATTAGGCTGTACATTAGAGGGACTGGAGTCAAGCTTCAGTATTCCTTCAGGGTCTGCTGTGGGATGGATGTTGGCAAGCCTGTCGTGATGGCACAGAGAGAGGATTCTTCCAACTACTTACTGTACGGATGGTATAGCTCCCTGAATATTGCAGAGAGGGCCTGGAGCTGAGACAGAGCTCCTAAAGGATCTGCTATGAGGCAGAAGCTGGTAAGTCTGTCCTGGTGGCTCAGACTGGAATGTTTCCTAGTAGTTCTCTGCATGGACATTGAACAAGTTATGTAACTAACAGCTTAGTACTTCAGTTACATCAACATAAAATGGGGATGACACTAATACCTAACTCACAGGGATTTTCTATCTCTAGAATGTAACTTTTATGAATTAAGGATGTTGGCTCTTTAACTGCTATATCACTAACTCCCAGAACAGTGCTTAGAACTTAGTTGGTACTAAATAACATTTGCTGAATAAAATAATTTTATGAGTAAATTCTTGGAAATCACTTAGAATAATGTATGTAGATATTATTAGTCAAGCATATTAATATTATCATGTGTATTGTAGGTATCAGATTAAATGTCACTTCCTCAGGGAACTGTATCTTATCTACTCTCACTAACTAAATTAACACACCAACTTAAAAAGTTTTATTCCCCCAAATAAGGATTAAATAAAGAGAAAACATTGAATAGTTTAGGCAACTCAAAAAATAAATAGTAAATGCTTACTATGCACTAATTTACCAGGGTCAGATAAGAATTTTTATTAAAAATATTTCATGGGAATGATGTCCACAAAATGGCAGAGTAGTCTGTTACACACTTCCATCCTCCAACATAAATATTGAAAAAAAAAAAAAGAAACTGTAAGAAACAACTTGGTGAGAACTCTGAAAAAGCAGTCAAAGGTTTACAGCAAATATGCAAACACTAAAAACAATAAAGTTAAGATAGTAGGAAAGCTTTATAATATTTTTAACTGGCTTGCCTTATTTTCTTTCTGGTTTGGCAAGAGCCTAAAAGAGAGAAGCCTGTATTCTTAGTACAGGATACTATGTCCTGTCTATGAAGGAACAGAACAAATCCTAATCACAAATTGTTGGATAAGTCTTTTCTAACATCTATGAAGTCTACTTGAAAGAGTTATGGAAGGCATTTGTCTCTGTTTGGCCTACCTCAGAACACACCCATGCCAGAAAAGTGATGGGCATTGCTCAAAAACATTATAATATGAACAAACAGCTTTCAGACATTTGAGAAAAATTAAGGTTGTATCCTATAGTAGCCCAACTAAAACCTAAGAGGAAAAGCCAGGGAAAGAGTGACTTTGCAAAATGAGGTCTATCTAAATTCCCCACGTATGTTGAGGAATTTAGAAAGCTGCAATTATCTTCAGAGCAACACATCTACTCATAAAAACCTGAGAAAATCTGTAGTTTTCACCTAAATTTATGGGTAAATTTTTGGAAATCACTTAGAATAATGTATGCACATATTATCAGTCATAGTATATTAATATCATCCTGCATGCTGTAGGTATCAGTTCAAATATCACTTCGTCAGGGAACTGTACCTTAACTACTCTCACTAACTAGGTTAATACACCAAAAGATAATTTTTAATTCCCCAAAATTAGGCTTAAAAAAAGAAAAAAAACATTAAATAGTTGAACTGAAAATGTTACGAGACAAGTGAACCACTGTGATCTTAAACTTTTTTAAATAAAGCAGATGGAAAGAAAGAAGGAGAATCTTACTTTTGGTATTACTACATTGTAATATTTAATTGTCTGGTTTTTAACAAAAAGTTTCAAGGAATTTAAAGTAACAGAAAAATATGGCCCATTTATACAAAAAAATAAATAAATAGGTAGAAGCCATCCTGTGAAATCATAGGCTTTGGACTTGCTAGATAAAGACTTTAACTCTTCTAAATGCATTCAAAGAACTAAAGTAAATTGTAGAGAAAGACCTAAAAATAATCCAGGAAAATGTAAAAAATGAGAGTATCAATAAAGGGATAAAAATTATAGAAAGGAAGAAAGGAGAAATATGGAGCTAAAAATTACAATAACTGATATCAAAATTTAATACAGGAGTTCAAAAGCAGATTTGAACATGGAGAAGAAAGGATAAGTGAAATGGAAGATGAGAGAATTAAAATTATACAGTCTGAGGAGAAAAAGTCCATAGAGAATGAAGGAAGTTGAATAGATCATAAGGACCCCATGAGACACCATGCAGAGGGCTTCATAGAATAAAAAAGAAAAGAAAAAGCAGAGACAATTTTTGAAAAAATGGTGGCCCAAACACCTCAAATTTGATGACATACATGTATCCACACAACAAACAACATCAACAAACTCCAGGTAGATTAAACTCATTGTCTCACAATGAGACACATTATACTCAAATTGTTGAAAGCTAAAGGAAAATCATCCTGAAAGCAGCCAAAGAAAGGTGACTTATCCTGTAGAAAGGATGCTTAATAAGATTTATTACCACTTTCTCATCAGAAACCGTGGAGGCCAGAAAACAGTGTGATAACATACTTAAAGTAATGAAATAAAAAATAGGGAAAACCAAGAATTCTACACCAGAAATAAATTGTTCTTAGAAGTAAGGAAGAAATTAAGACAGTCTCAGATAAACAAAACCTGAAGGAATTTGTTACCACTAGACATTTGCTACAAGAAAACTAAATGTGGTGTTTTGGGTTACAATGAAAAGACACTAGACAGTAGCCTACAATTATATGAAAAAATAAAGACATCTGTTATGATTAATATATGAGTAAATATAAAAGCCATTATTATTGTATTTTGGTTTACAACTTTATTTTTTTATTTTCTACATGATTTAAAGGTCATTTTTTAAAAAGTAATCATAAATATGTTCTTGGGCATGCAAATGACCAAAGATAAAATTTTCTGCAAAAACAACATAAAGGGAAGACAGAATTATATAGCAGCATAGTTTTATCATGCCATCAAAATTAAGTTGCTAACAATTCAAACCAGATTGCTATAAATTTAAGGTGTTAAATATGATTCTCACAGTAACCACAAAAATATCTAAAATATATACATGAAGAATGACACAGATACTAAAATGGTTCACTAAAAAATTCAACTAAACAAATAAAAAGCCGTACTAGAGAAAATGAGGGATTTGTAAAGCATATGACATACAGAAGACAAACAGCAAAATAAAAAAAGAAAGCCCTTCTTTGTCACTAATTACATTACATGTAAGTAGATTAAAATATCTATTCAAAAGAAAGATTGGTAGACTGGATTTTTTAAAATGATCAAACTGTACGGATTCCACTAAAGACTACTAATTTTAGAGCTTTCTTAATCCATTTCTGTTATAAGAAAGTACCACAGACTGGGTAACACATTTTATATATATGTATATGTATATATGTGTGTGTGTGTGTGTGTGTGTGTGTACTATATAAAAATTTATACTCTATGTGTATATATACTCTGTGTATATATATGTGTATATATATTATATTATATAATATATATATGATATAGTATATATTATATATATGCACATTACTATATAGTATATATTATATATACTATATAGTATATATGCATATATATATTATATAATATATACTATATCGTATATATATTATGTGTATATATAGTATATATAATGTGTATTTATATATTATATTACATATTACTATATATAGAGTATATATTATGTATATATATTAATTATATAATACAGTATATTATGTATATACTATATATACACATATAGAGTATATGCATGTATAGCAATATGTACATCTTAAAAGCAACCAAAGAAAGAAAAATTTAAGCATATATATATATATATATATATATATATATAGTTTTGAAGTCTGAGAAGTTCAAGACTAAGGCAGCAGCATTGCTTCCTGGTGAGGACCTGTTCCATCAATGATGTCTACTCAATGATGTCTACTCATCATAGCATCCTTACATTTGAAGGCAGAAGGGGTAAAAGGAGTGAACTCTTTCTGTAACATCATTTGTAAGGTCAGTAATTCATTCATCATGGATTCCTCATGAATTAATCACTTCCAAAAAGGTCTCAACTTTTAATATCCCCACAATAGTTATGGAGTTTAAATATGAATTTTAGAAGAGACACCACATTAAAATCAAAACAAGATTCATAGAGACATAGTTTGAAAGTGAAAGGATGGCACATCAATGTCCTAGGGCTGCCATTAAAAAGTATCAAAAACTAGCATACTAAAACAAGAAAAGCGTATTGTCTGACTCTTCTGGAGGCAATAAGTTCAAAACCCAAATATTGGCAGGGTCGTCCTTCCTCCAAAGATTTTATGGGAGAATATTTCCTTGTTGTTTTCAGCTTCAGGATGCTTCAGGCACTCCTTAGCTTTTTGCAGTGTAACTCTTATTTCAGCTTCCCTTGTCACTTAGCATATTCTGTGTGTGTGTCTCTTCTTATATGAACCCGAGTCATATTGACTTGGAGCCAACTCTACCCATCTTATATTAACTTGATTACAACTACAAACACCTTACTTCAAAGTTAGGCCATATTTATATGCAACTAGGGTTAAAACTTCAATATATTATTATTAGAGACACAGGATAACACATAACAGATAGGAAAAGATATGTCATTACAGTTGTAACCAAAACAGAGCTTAAGTAGCCATACTATATGACAAAATAAAATGTAATCAAACTGTTACAAAAGATATCAGACATTGTACACGGATATGTTTCAATTCATCAAGAAGATACAAATATTATAAACACATATGCACAGAAGAATCCCAAATTATAAGCAGCAAACATTGGCAGAATTGAAGGGATAAATAGACAATTCTAAAATGATAGTTGGATACTTCAATACATCATTTTTAATAGCATAGTAACTATATGGATGATCAATAAAGAAATATAAAACTTGACCAACACTGTAAACCATGTGCAACTGTCAGACATCTGTAGAACACTACACCCAATAACTGCACAATACATCTACTTCTCATTGTACATATAACATTGTCAATAATAAATCATGTATTAGGCCACAAACAAGTTTCAGTGCATTTAAAAATATTGAATTCATGCCAAGTATCACCCTGACCAAAACACATAAAGCTAAATATCAAAAACAAAAGAAAAATTGAAATATCATGAATATGTTAAAATTAGACAATTTTTAACAACCAATAGGTCAAAGAATATATAACAAGTAAACTTAGAAAATACTTTGAAATCAGTAACAGTGAAAACACAACGTGCCAAAACATATGAGAAGAAATGAAAGCAGTGCTCAACAGAAAGTTTATAGCTGTAAATGTTAACATTAAAAAAGAACAATTTTAAATCAATAACTTAATATTACCTTTTAAGAAACTAGAAAAACAAGAACAAACTAAACCCAAAGCTGAAGAAGGAAGAAAATAATAAAGAATAGACATTAAATAAATAAAACAGAGAATAGAGAAACAATAGAGAAAATCAATGAAACCAAGAGTTGGTATTTTGAAAATATAAACAAAATTGACAAATCCTTAGCTATGTTATCTAATAAAAAGAGATAAGATTAAAATTGAAATACAGGGACAGTACTACTGATTTGACAGAAATAAATATGTTATAAAGGAATAATATGAAGAATTATACACTAATAAATTCGATAAGCTAAATACAATATATAAATTTTTATAAATATGCAAGCTATAGAGACTGAACCATGAAAAAATAAGAAATTTGATAAGACCTGTAACTCGTTAAGAGATGTAATCAGTAGCCAAAAACTTCCCAAGAAAGAAAAGCCCAAGACCAGATAGATTCACTAGAGAATTCTAACAAACATGTAAAGAATTAACACCAATCTTTCTAAAACTTCCAAAAAATTAAAGAGGGTGAAAACTTCCTACCTCATTTCTTTAGGTCAGCATTACCCTTATATGAAAACAAGGACGTGCAAATAAGAAAACTACAGAACAATATCCCTTATGAATATTAATGCAAAATGCTGCAATAAAATGTAAGTAAATTGAATTAAATAGCATATTTAAAACATTATATATTATGAAAAAGTATGATTTCTTCCAGAAAAGATGTTCAATATATGTAATTTAATATGTATGATATGACAAATTAACAAAACAAGGGGGGAAGCGTCATATGATTATATTAATTGATGCAGAAAAAGCATTTGACAAAATTCAACACTTTTTAATAATACAGACATTCTAGAAATAGAAGGAAACTACCTCAAAATAATGAAGGCCATATATCACAAATCCACAGCTGACATCATACTCATTGGTGAAAGGCTTGAAAGCATGGCAAGGATGCCTACTTTGACCACTTATACGCAGCATAGTTCTGGAAGTCCTATACAGAGGTATTAGGTAAATCAAAAACCAAAAGGCAACAAAATAGGAAATAAAAAAATAAAATTGTCACTAATTACAGTTAACATAATATTATATATTAAAATTTTCTAAAGTTCTTACCAAATAAAGTGTGAGACCAAATAAACAAATTCAGCAAAGTTGCAGATAAAATTAATACACAAAATTACTTCTGTTTCTGCCCATTAACCACAAACAATCTGAAAAGTTTAGAAAACCATTGCATTTACAGTAGCAACAAAAAGAATAAAATACTTATGATTGAACTTAACCACATAAGTAAAAATCATGTGCACTGAAAACTACAAAACATTGTCAAAACCATTATAGAAGACAAACAAATGGAAGAACATCATATTTTATGAATTGGAAAAATTAAAAATAAAAATATTGGTACCAACAAACAATAACTACAAATTCAATGAAATCCTTATAAAAATTCCTATAAAAATTCCATGACATTTTGCAAAAATAGAAATAACCACCCAAAATTCATACACAATCATAAGGGATCTTGAATAGTCAAAGCATTCTTGAAAAAGAACAAAAAAACTTGAGTCTCAGACTTCTTGATTTCAAAACTTACTATAAAGCAATGAAAATCAAAACAGTGTGGTACTGGCATAAAAAACACATGTAAGTCAATGAAATAATAAACAGAACTCCAAAATAAACCATCACCTATGTGGTAAAACATATTTTCGCAAAGATGACAAGACCATTCAATGAAGAAAGGATGGTCTTTTCAACAAATATTGTTGGCTGAGGCAGGAGAATGGCGTGAACCCCAGGGGGCGGAGCCTGCAGTGAGCCGAGATCGCGCCACTGCACTCCAGCCTGGGCGACAGCGAGACTCCGTCTCAAAAAAAAAAAAAAAAAAAAAAAAACAAATTTTGTTAACATACAAAACAATGAAGGTGTACCTTTACCATATACCCCACAAAAATTTACTGAAAATGGTTCCATCACCTACAGTTAAGAGCTAAAACTATAAAATTACTAGAAGAAAACACTCTGGGCAATTTTCATGACATTGGATTTGATAAGGCCAAAAAAAAAAAGCACAGAGAACAAGAGAAAAACTAGATAAATTAAGCACTTTTATACATCAAAGAGCACTATGAACAGAGTAATAATGAACCCAACTATTGAAAGAAGTGTCTGCAAACAAAGTGTCAAATATATGTGATAAGGAATTAATATCCAGAATACATAAAGAACTCAACTAAAAAAAATAAAATTGGGCAAACAATTCAATAGATATTTTTTCAAAGAAATATACAAATGGCCAGTAAGCACATTAAAATGTTAAATTTCACTAGCCCTTAGAGAAATGAAATCAAGACCACAATGATATAGCAGCTCACATACATTAAGATAGCTGTAATTTTTCAGAATAGGAAAAAAATAAGTGTTTTTAATGATGTGGAGAAACTGGAAGATACTCACATTGCTGGTGAGAATGTAAAACAGTGCAGGAGCTGTAGAAAACAGAATAGCAGATTCTCAAATGCTAAACAGAATTAACATGTGATCTACCAATTCCACTTCTGTTTATATACCTAATGAATCAAAAGCAGAAAATAGAACAGATATTTATTCATCCATGTTCATAGTAGCATGATTTATAATAACCAAAATATAGAAGCAAACCAAAGATCCATAGACAGACAAATGAATAAACAAAAGGTGGTTATGTTCATCTGTTCATCTACTTGAGCTGTAATAACAAAATACCACAAATAGGTAGCTGAAACAACAGAAATTTATTTTCTCTTAGTAGTTCTGGAAACTGTTAAGTCCAATATCAAACTGCCAGCATGGTTGGTGTTTTGTGCGATATCCCTCCTTGGGTTGCATATGGCCTTGTTCTTGCTGTGTCTCATGTGGTAGATAACCTCGTCTTATAGCTTCACCCTTAGGATCTCTAATTTTGATTATCTCTTAAATACCTTATCTTCAATTGCAGTAACATTTGCAGTTAGGAATTTGACATATAAATTAAGGGCAGAACACAATTTAACCCATAGCAGTGATAGACACATACAATGAAATATTAGTCAGCTTTAAAAAGGAATAAAATTTTGATACATACTGCAACATAAATAAACCTTGAAGACATTGTAATAAGTAAAAAAAAAGACATTCAAAAATGACAAATATTCCTTTCATTTCACTTAAATGAAGTACCTAGAATAGTCAAATTTATGGAAATAGAAAGTACAGCGGTGGCTGCCAGAGACTGGAAGAAGAGGAGAATGGAGAGTTAGTAAAAAAATGTCTAGAGAGTTCCAGTGGGGAAAATGAAAAAGTCTGACAGACAAAAGGTAGTGATGGTTGTACAACAATGTGAATATACTTACTATCACAAAATAGTATGCTTAAAATAGTTATAACAGTAAATTTTATGTTATGTATATTTAAACACAATTTTTTAAAAATTGAAAATGGGAAAATTACTACCAATCATACAGAAATAAAAAATTATCAGATAGACTATGAATAATTGTACACTGACAAATTAGATAAATTAGATTAAATTTAAAAAATTATAGAAATATACAAATAACCTAATCTGATGTAAGAAGGAATTGGAAATTCCCAACAGCTATAAAAACAAAAAAGAATAAATTGTTTATTTAAAAGCTTCACATTAAATGCCTATATCAAAAAGTCTGAAAGAGCAGAAATAGACTATCTAAGGTCACACCTCAAGGAACTAGAGAAACAAGAACAAACCAAACTCACACCCAGCAGAAGAAAAGAAATAATCAAGATCAGAGCAGAACTAAATGAAATTAAGAAAAAAAAAATACAAAGGATAAATGAAACAAAAAGCTGCTTCTTTGAAAAGATTAATACAATTGATAGACCATTAGCAAGATTAACCAAGAAAAGAGGAGATAAGATACAAATAAGTTCAATTAGAAATGAAACAGAAGATATTAAAACTGATACCACAGAAATGAAAAACATTATTAAAGGTTACTAGGAACACCTTTACATGCATAAACTAGAAAACCTAGAGGAAATAGATAAATTCCTGGAAATATACAACCCTCCTAGATTAAACCAGGAAGAAATGCCTATTCTGAACAGACCAATAACAAGCAGCAAGATTCAAATGGTAATTAAAAAGTTACCAAAAAAGTCCAAGACCAGGCAGATTCACAGCTGAATTCTATCAGACATTCAAAGAAAAATTGGTACCAATCCTATTGACACTATTCCAAAAGATAGAGAAAGAGGGAATCATCCCTAAGTCATTCAATGAAACCAATATCACCCTAATACCAAAACCAGGAAAGGACATATCAACAACAACAACAAACTACAGACCAATAACTCTGACAAACATAGATGCAAAAATCATCAACTAAATGCTAGCTAAAAGAATCCAACAGCATATCAAAATGATAATCTACCACGATCAAGTGAGTTTCATATGAGAGATTCAGGGATGGTTTAACATACAGAAGTCAATAAATGTGAAACACCATGTAAAGAGAATTAAAAACAAAGATCACAGGATAATCTCAATAGACACAGAAAAAGCATTTGACAAAATCCTGCATTTCTATATGATTAAAACACTCAGAAAATTGGCATAGAAGGGACATATCTTAAGGTAATAAAAGCCACCTATGACAAACTGACAGCCAACATTATACTGAGTTGGGAAAAGCTGAAAGCATTCCCCCTGAAAACTGGAAGAAGGATGTCCACTTTCACAACTTCTCTTCAACATAGTACTGGAAGTCCTACACAGGACAGACAAAAGAAAGACGTAAAAGGCATTCAAATCAGTAAAGAGGAATTCAAACTGTCACTGTTTTTTGATGGCATGATTGTATACCTGAAAAACCCTAAAGATTCATCCAAAAAGCTCCTAGGACTGGTAAACTGATTCAGCAAAGTTTCTGGATAAAAAATTAATGCACACAAATCAGTAGCTCTGCTATACACCAACAGTGACCAAGCTGAGAATCAAATCAAAAACTCAACCCCTTTTACAACAGCTGCAAAACAAACAAACAAGCAAACAAACAAACTTTGGACTATACCTAACCAAGGAGGCGAAAGACATCTACAAGGAAAACTACTGAAAGGCTGGAAGAAACCATAGATGACACAAACAAATGGAAACACATCCCATGATCATGGAAGAGTAGAATTAATATTGTGAAAATGACCACATTGCCCAAAGCAATCTACAAATTCAATGCAATTCCCGTTAAAATACCACCATCATTCATCACAGAACTAGAGAAAACTATCCTAAAATTCATGTGAAATCAAAAAAGAGCTCACACAGTGAAATCAAAACTAAGCAAAAAGAAAAAATCTGGTATCAAAATAGGCATAGAGACCAATGGAACAGAATAGAGAAGCCAGAAATAAAAGCCAAATACTTATAACCAACTGATCTTCATTAAAGCAAACAAAAACACAAAATGGGGAAAGGACACTCTACATCAAATGGTGCTGAGATAATTGGCAAGCCACATGTAGGAGAATGAAACTGGATCTTCATCTCTCACCTTATACAAAAATCAACTCTAAATGAATCAAAGACTTAAATCTGAGGCCAAAAACCATCAAAATTCTGGGCGATAACATCGGAAACACCCTCCTAGACATTGGGTTAGGCAAAGACTTCATGACTCAAAATACAAAGGCAAATGAAACAAAAAAAATGAATAGATGGAACTTAATTAATCTAAAAAGCTTCTGCACAGCAAAAGAAATAATCAGCAGAGTAAACAGACAACCCACAAAGTGGGAGAAAATCTTTGCAGTCTCTACATCCAACAAAGGACTAATATCCAGACTCTATAAGGAACTCTAACAAATCAGTAAGAAAAAACAAACAATCCCATCCAAAAAGTGGGTTAAGGACATGAATAGAGAATACTCAAAAGAAGATATACAAATGACCAACAAACATATAAAAAATACTCAACATCACTAATGATCAGAAAAATGAAAATCAAAACCACAATGTGATACCACCTTACTCCCGCAAGAATGCCTATAATCAAAAAATCCTAAAACAATAGATGTTGGCGTGGATGTGATGAAGAGGGAACACTTTTACATTGCTGGTGGGAATGTAAACTAGTACAACCACTATGGAAAACAGCATGGAGATTACTTAAAGAACTAAATGTAGAACTACCATTGGAACTAGCAATGCCACTCCTGGGTATCTACCCAGGAAAAAAAAGAAGTTATTATACCAAAAAGATATTTGTACCTGCATGTTTATAGCAGCACAATTCGTAATTGCAAAAATATGGAACCAGCCCAAATGCCCATCAATCAATGAGTGGATAAAGAAAATGTGATATATATATACATATATATATATATCACATTCCTATATATATATATCACATTCATATATATATATCACATTCATATATATATCACATTCATATATATATATCACATTCATATATATATATATATACACACACGCATACACACCATGGAATACTACTCAGCCATAAAAAGGAATGAGATAATGGCATTCTCAGCAACTTGGATGAAATTGAAGACCGTTATTCTGAGTGAAATAATTCAGGAATGCAAAACTAAACATTGTATGTTCTCAATCATAAGTGGGAGCTAAGCTACGAGGATGCAAAGGCATAAGAATAATACAGTGGACTTTTGGGACTCAGGGGAAAGGGGGAGAAGGTGGTGAGGGATAAAAGACTATACATTGGGTACAGTGTACACTGCTTGGGTGATGGGTGCACAAAATTTCACAAATCACCACTAAAAAACTTATTCATGTACAATAAATAAATAGATAATTAGCATTAAAAAAACTCCCAACAAAGAAAATCCAGGACCAGATGGCCTCACTGGTAAATTACATCACACATTTAATAAATTATCACCAATATTTCTCAAAATCTTCTAAAAATTAGAAGAGGAGAGATACTTCTTTTTTTTTTTTATTATACTCTAAGTTTTAGGGTACATGTGCACATTGTGCAGGTTACTTACATATGTATACATGTGCCATGCTGGTGCGCTGCACCCACTAACGTGTCATCTAGCATTAGGTATATCTCCCAATGCTATCCCTCCCCCCTCCCCCGACCCCACCACAGTCCCCAGAGTGTGATATTCCCCTTCCTGTGTCCATGTGATCTCATTGTTCAATTCCCACCTATGAGTGAGAATATGCGGTGTTTGGTTTTTTGTTCTTGCGATAGTTTACTGAGAATGATGGTTTCCAATTTCATCCATGTCCCTACAAAGGACATGAACTCATCATTTTTTATGGCTGCATAGTATTCCATGGTGTATATGTGCCACATTTTCTTAATCCAGTCTATCATTGTTGGACATTTGGGTTGGTTCCAAGTCTCTGCTATTGTGAATAGTGCCGCAATAAACATACGTGTGCATGTGTCTTTATAGCAGCATGATTTATAGTCCTTTGGGTATATACCCAGTAATGGGATGGCTGGGTCAAATGGTATTTCTAGTTCTAGATCCCTGAGGAATCGCCACACTGTCTTCCACAATGGTTGAACTAGTTTACAGTCCCACCAACAGTGTAAAAGTGTTCCTATTTCTCCACATCCTCTCCAGCACCTGTTGTTTCCTGACTTTTTAATGATTGCCATTCTAACTGGTGTGAGATGATATCTCATAGTGGTTTTGATTTGCATTTCTCTGATGGCCAGTGATGATGAGCATTTCTTCATGTGTTTTTTGGCTGCATAAATGTCTTCTTTTGAGAAGTGTCTGTTCATGTCCTTCGCCCACTTTTTGATGGGGTTGTTTGTTTTTTTCTTGTAAATTTGTTTGAGTTCATTGTAGATTCTGGATATTAGCCCTTTGTCAGATGAGTAGGTTGCAAAAATTTTCTCCCATGTTGTAGGTTGCCTGTTCACTCTAAAGTTCATATGGAACCAAAAAAGAACCCGCATCGCCAAGTCAATCCTAAGCCAAAAGAACAAAGCTGGAGGCATCACACTACCTGACTTCAAACTATACTACAAGGCTACAGTAACCAAAACAGCATGGTACTGGTACCAAAACAGAGATATAGATCAATGGGACAGAACAGAGCCCTCAGAAATAATGCCGCATATCTACAACTATCTGATCTTTGACAAAGCTGAGAAAAACAAGCAATGGGGAAAGGATTCCCTATTTAATAAATGGTGCTGGGAAAACTGGCTAGCCATATGTAGAAAGCTGAAACTGGATCCCTTCCTTACACCTTATACAAAAATCAATTCAAGATGGATTAAAGATTTAAACGTTAGACCTAAAACCATAAAAACCCTAGAAGAAAACCTAGGCATTACCATTCAGGACATAGGCGTGGGCAAGGACTTCATGTCCAAAACACCAAAAGCAATGGCAACAAAAGCCAAAATTGACAAATGGGATCTAATTAAACTCAAGAGCTTCTGCACAGCAAGAGAGATACTTCTTAATTGGTTTTATGAAAAGAGCATTACCCTGATACTAAAGTCAGACAAAGTTTCACAAGACATGAATATAATACACCAATATTCCTTATAAGTATAAATGCAAAAGTCCTCAATAAAATACTATCAAACTGAATTCAACATCATATTAAAATAATTATACACTACGGACAAGTGGCATATATTCCAGAAATGTAAGATTATTTCAACATAAGAAAATCCATCAATGTAACAGCACATTCATGGAATGAAAGGGGAAACAAACCATGATTCTCTCAATTGACACAAAAAAAAATCACTTGAAAAATCTGACATTCTTTCATGATAAAAACACTCAGAAATCTATTAAAACAAGTGGACTTCCTCAACATGACAAAGGGTATATACAAAAAAACCCACTGGTGACATCATACTCAATGGTTAAAGACTAAAACATTTTCCTCTATGATCAACAACCCTACAAAGATGCCACTGTAACAAATACCTATTCTATATTTTCCTGAAAGTTCTAGCCAAAACAATTAGAAAAGAAATAAAAGGCATCCCAATTGAAAAGAAAGAAGGAAAGCTCTTTTCATGAATGACCCAACCTATATATGTTGGGTCATTCATTAACCAAAATAATTTAAAAAGGATACTAGAGTAAAGCAACAAATTCTTCATAGTTGAACAGAACAAGATCAACGTAAAAATCGCTTATGTTCATGGAAATCATTCAACAATCCAAAAATACTAAGAAACATTAAGAAGCAATGTCAATAAAAAATAATTAAAATACCAGGAAATAAACTGAAGAAAAGAGCTAAAATGCTTGCACATTGAAATCAATAAACCATTGATTAAAAAATAAAGAAAATCTAAATAAATGCAAAGACGTGATGATCATGGAAAACTTAATATTGTGAATAAGGCAATACCACCCAAAGTGATGTACAGATTCAATGCAATATACCAAATATACTTTTTATTTTACTGTAAATGATCAATTTATAGTTTTACATATTTATAGAATAGAAAGTGATTCCCTACCAAAATTTTAACAAGAAATTAACAGCTTTTCTTCATGTTATCCTATCACTATCCCACTCAGTCCAAGCTGAAAATTATTCTACTGATAAAACTCTATCTCCATACCTAGCTTCTGCTGAGATGGCTGAATGGATCCATAAATCACAAGCCCATAATCCTTTAAACACCACATACACTCCCTTAGTCCACCCTCCGGCATATACTTTCTCATGTTTTGCCATACGTATAGACTGAGCATTTCCCAAATCTTCATATTTTTGTTCTCTTTTTGTAACAATACAACCTTCACTTTGTCTTTCTCCTCTTGCATTTTACTAAGCAACAAGGAGAAATGAGAACATCCATTCAATGCTTTGCTTAAAAAATTTCTCAGATCAATATTAAAGTTCATCACTTACAAATTCTATCTTCCACAAAACAATAGAACAAATTGGGAAATATTTGTAGAAACTTTAAAACAAGAAACACCTTTCCTGCAGTTTCCAATAGCATGTTCCTCATTTCTATCTGATGTCACCAGTAACACTTTAGAATTCATATTTCTACTGACATGATGTTCATGACTATATATATACATATATGAATATATGTATATATGTAATAGCCTTCTCTAAAGCTCTTCTCTTTTTTTTTTTTTGAAACCTCACCAGAGTCACTGTTGAAGACCACATTTCTACCAAATAACTCTTCAAGACAATCTAGGCTTTTGTAATGTACACCTCAGAATTACATCAACCTTTACCATTATCTAGTTTCAAAGCCACTTCCGTATTTGTAGATATTTTCTTTAGCACCCCCCTTCAATTTCTGGAACAAAATTCTGTATTAGTTTGCTATGTGTACCATATCAAATATTCAGAAATTTATATTTTTACAGTTCTATTATAGAAGACTAGATACCCAAAATTAAGGTGCCAGGAGGGTTGATCTATTTTGAGGCCTCTTTCCTTGGCTTGTAGATGGCCACTTTGTCCGTGTCTTTAAGTGGCAATTTCCCTGTGCATTTCTGTGTCTTAAACTCCTTTTCTTAAAAGGACATCAGTCATATTGAATTAGGACCCACCCCAATGACTTCATTTTACCTTAATTATGTCTTTAAAGAGCTTATCTTCAAATACAATCTGAGATACTAAAGAGCAGGACTTCCTTAACATATAAATCATGGGGAGACACCATACTTCGCATAAAAAATGGTATCTCCCATTCTGTGAATTGTCTTTTCACTATTTTGATAGTGTCTCTTAATGCAGAAAAGCTTTGAATTTTCACAAACCTTTTTCTTTTGTTGCATGTTCTTTTTGTGTCATATCCAAAAATCATTGTATATCTAATATCATGAATCTTTTTCTGTGTTCTTATAAAAGTTTCATAGTTTTAGTTCTTACATTCAAGTCTTTAGATTGATTTTTAAGTAAATTTTTGTATATGGCTTAAGGTAAGAATACACTGTTCTTTCTCCACTTAATTGTATAAGGATATTTGGAGAAAACCTTTTGATTGATTATATATGTGAGGGTGTATTTCTGGACTCTCTATTTTAATCTATTGTTATTTATGCTTGTCTTTATTCAAGTACTACATTGTTTTGATTACCACACATTTGTAGGAAATCCAAAGTAAGAAAGTGTAAGTCCTCCAACTTTTAAATTGCATTACAACTTTTTTGGCCATTATTGGTTTTTAGAGTTTCCATGTTTAGGATATGGAATTTCACCTAAATTAGGATTCCACTTTAGGATAAGTTTTGGTATTTCTGATAAAAAAGTAATTGCAATATTGACTGGGATTGCATCTGTAATCTTAATAACATTAAGTCTTCTAATCTGAAAACATGAGACATCTTTCTATTAATTTACATCTTCCTTAATTTTTTCAAAATTTTTTAGTTTACAGTGTATAAGTCTTATTTCTCCTTGACAATTTAAAAAAATTGTAGAGAAGGAATCTTTCTTTACTGGCCCAGCTGGTTTTGAACTCCTGGGCTCCTGTGATCCTTCTGCCTCAGCCTGCAAAAGTGAAAACTGCCTCAACCTCCCAAAGTGAAGGCACGAGCCACCATGCCTGGCCAAGATTTGTTCTTTACTAAATTTATTGAAAAAAGCCTTGTCCACATCTCCTTGGATTCATTATAAGGTATGAGAGTCTTTCCCCTTGGCAATTTCTGTTTTTTTTGTTAACCATTATTTTAGGTTGAGGTGTACATGTGCAGGTTTGTTACATAGGTCTGTCACAGGGGTTTGGCATACAGGTTATTTTTTCATCCAGGTAATAACTATAGTGTACAGTAGGATCTTGATCTTCACACTCCTCCCACTCCCCACCCTCAAGTAGGCCCTGGTGTCTGTCATACCCTTCATTGTGTGCATGAGTACACAGTGTTTAGCTCTCATTTATAAACGACAACATGAGATGTTTGGTTTTCTGTTCCTGTGTTACTTCACATAGAATAATGGTCTCCGACTTCATCCATGCTGCTGCAAAGGACATAATTTTGTTTCTTTTTATGGCTGCATAGTATTCCATGGTGCACATGTGCAACATTTTCTTTGTGGCCCCAGTGTCTGTTGTTCCCCCCGTATCTCCATGAGTTCTCATCATTTAGCTCCCACTTATAAGTGATAATATGCGGTATTTGGTTTTCTGTACCTGCATTTGTTTGCTAAGGATAATAGCCTCCAGCTCCATCCATGTTCCTGGAAATGACATGGTCTCATTTTTTATGGCTGCATAGTATTCCATGGTGTATATATACCATATTTTCTTTATCCAGTCTACTGTTGATGGGCATTTAGGTTGATTCCATGTCTTTGCTATTGTGTACAGCGCTGCAATGAATATACACATGCATGTGTCCTTATGGTAGAACAATTTATATTCCTTTGAGTATATACCCAATGATGAGATTGCTGGATCAAATCACAATTCTCAAAGGGAATACTTCCAGCTTTTCATTCAGAAATTGCCAAATTGCTTTCCACAATGGCTGAACAAATTTACATTCCCAACAGTAGTAAATAAGCATTTCCTTTCTGTCACAATCTCTGTGGCCAAACTGTGGCCAAACTGTAACCAAACTGTGACCAAACTGTAGTTAACTGGTGCAGTTTGCTGAGCATGTTTTATAAAGGAAAGGAAATGCCAAAACCCTGGTAAAGTTGTTCCATTGCAGCCTAAGAGAACAAAGATTTATTTCTCATCACTTACATCAGGCAGATAAAAATTAGTTTCCCTCCCCTACCTGAAGCACTTCATCAGTAGAAATAGCCTGATAAATAACTAGACAGTCTTTGCACTCAAGAGATTCCACAAAATGTAATGCAATAATGGAAAGGTTTACCTTCTTTAGCTTCAAAGTTGGAGGGTTTTGGTCATTTTAATTTTATATCAAACTAGTGCTTTTCAGCCACAGTATCTTCACTCTGAGATAAGAAGTTTTCTTCACAATGTATTTTTAATATCCTCATGTTCAGTTTTAAGACAAAGCAACTTTAATACTAGGTGCACACCACATGACCTTCCTGCAAACTGCTTTTCTTGACAAGTTATGAAGTAGTTCAAGGAGGTATGGTTAAGGCTGTATTACTGAATGGTGCTGGTAAATACTACACAATTTTTTTTTGTCATGTTGCAACCTTTTGTTTCCAATTTAGTGACTGCTACTATGAAATCAGATAACTACAATGACAACATTATTAGGTTTTGAACTATGATTTAGTAGCAACTTAGGTTCCCAGTTTTAACCCCTTGGCAGCAAGATCCAAGTTCCCTCATTTGCACATTAGCACCTAAGTGTCAAGGGATTAAATAACCAGCACAAAAGATACTGCACTTCTGATTGCAGCATTTGGCAGAACTGAAAGGAAAGGAAGTTGTGCTACATGTTCAAGGGATTGTGGGCAACATAAAGATGACACCAAGAAAGATAAAATGTCACATGAAGTCTTCATAATCTTGTACATATCCTCCATCATAACCACCATAATCTGCCGGATCATCTTTCATGGTGGCTTTTAATCCTCCTCCAGGAACCACACCTTTCTTCTTTTCTGCTGTGCTTTGCTTTTCTTGCTTCTGTTTTTCATTGCAAAGCACTGTCAGTGAATTGGCAATTTTTTTCAAGTCATCAATTTCCAAGGAAATACACACATCTCAAACTAAGACTTCCAAAAAACTGGCATAATATAGTGACTTTTCATTTTGTGTAATTTTTGACTTTTTGGTAATAACCATACTGACTGGTGTGAGATGTTATATTATTGTGATTTTGATTTGCATTTCTTGAATTAGTGGTGTTCAGCATTTTTTCATAGGCTTGTTGGACACATGTATATCTTCTTTTGAAAAGTCTCTGTTCATGTTTTTTGCCTAATTTTTAATAGGGTTGTTTTTGCTTCTTAATTTGTTTAAGTTTCTTACAGATTCTGGATATTACACCTTTGAAGTATAGATTGCAAATATTTTCTCCCATTCTGTAGGTTGTCTGTTTATTCTGTTGATAGCTTCTATTGCTGTGCAAAAGCTTTTTGGTTTAATTAAGTTCCCTTTATCAACTTTTGCTTTCCTTGCAATTGTTTTTGCTGTCTTCATCATGAAATCTTTGCCAGCACCTATGTCCTGAATAGTATTTCCCAGGTTATCTTCCAGGGTATTGATAGTTTTAGGTTTTACGTTTAATGTAAAGGCTTTAATGCATCTGGAGTTGATTTTTGTATATGGTGAAATGAAGGGGTACAGTTTAAATCTTCTGCATATGGGAAGCCAGTTATTCTAGCACCATTTACTGCACAGGGAGTCTTTCCTCACTGCTTGTTTTAATCAGCTTTGTCAAAGATCAAATGATTTTAACTGTGCAGAGTTATTTCAGGGCTCTCTATTCTGTTCCATTGTTCTATATGTCTGTTTTCATACCAGAACCATGCTCTTTGGGTTAGTGTAGCTTTGTAGTATACTTTGAAGTTGGGTAATGTGATGCCTTTGGTTTTGTTGTTTTTTGCTTAGGATTGCATTGGCTATTTGGGCCCTTTTTTGGTTCCATATAAATTTTAAAACAGAGTTTTTCTAATTTTGTGAATAATGTCATTGGTAGTTTGATAGAAATATCACCAAATCTGTAAATCTCTTTGGGCAATATAACATTTTAACAATATTGATTCTTCCCATTCATAAGCATAAAATGATTTTCCATTCATTTGTGTCATCTCTGATAGCTTTCAGCAGTGTTTCGTAATTCACCTTGTAGGGATCTTTCACTTCCCTGGTTAGCTGTATTCATAGGTATTTTATTCTTATAGTGGCTATTAGCAATGGGATTTAATTCTTGATTTAGCTCTCAGCTTGCATGTTAGTGATGTATAAAAATGCTACTGATTTATGTACATTGAGTTTGCATTTTAAAACTTTGTTGAAGTATTTTTTATCTGAACTTAGGTACTTTGGGGCAGAGACTAGCAGAGATAGTTTGACTTTCTCTCTTACTATTTGGATGCCTTTTATTTCATTCTCTTGCCTGATTGTTCTGGCCAGGGCTTCCAGTATTATGTTGAACAGGAATGAGAAGAGTAGGCATTCTGGTCTTTTTCTGATTCTCAAAAGTGGTGTTTCCAGCTGTTGCCCATTCCATATAATGTTTGCTCTGACTCTTTTCGTAGATGGCTCTTATATTTTTGAGATACGTTCTTTCAAAGCCTAGCTTGTTGAGGGTTTTTAATATGAAGGGATGTTGAACTGTGTCAAAAGTCTAGCTTGTTGACACTTTTTTATATGAAGGGATGTTGAACAGTATCAAAAGCCTTTTCCTAATCTATTAAAATGGTCATGTGCCTTTTGTTTTTAGTTTTGTTTACAGCATGAATCACTTTTATTGATTGGCATATGTTGAACCAACCTTGCATCCCAGGAATAAAGCCTACTTTATTGTGGTGGATTAGCTTTTTGATGTGCTGCTTGATTCAGTTTGCTAATATTTTGTTGAGGATTTTTGCATCTATGTTCATTAAGGATATTGGTTTGCAGTTTTCTTTAGTTTTTTGTGTATCTGCTAGGTTTTAATATCAGAATGGCGCTAGCATTGCAGAATCAGTTAGGGAGGAGACCCCATTCCTCAATATTTTGGAATAATTTGAATAGAAATGGTACCAGCTCTTCTTTATACATCTGGTACAATTTGGCTGTGAATCTCTCTGGTCCTGGATTTATTCTTGTTGGAATGTTTTTAACATTGATTCAATTTTGGTACTCATTATTGGCTTTTTCAGGGATTAAACTTCCTCCTGGTTCAGTCTTCACAGGTTGTATGTCTCTTGTAATATATCCATTCATTCTAGGTTTTGTAGCTTTTGTGCATAAAGTTGTTCATAGTGGTCTCTGAAGGTGTTGTATATTTCTGTCTGGTCGGTTCTAATGTCCCCTTTGGCATTTCTGATTGTGTTTATTTGGATATTCTCTTTTTGTTTCTTTATTGGTCTAGCTAATTGTATACCAATTTTATTTATTTGTTTAAAGACTCAATACTTGGATTCATTGATCTTTTGTGTAGTTTTTTTGCAACTCAATTTTATTCCATTCAGCTCTGATTTTGGTTGTGTAGTTTCTTCTGCTATCTTTGGATTGGGTTTCTTCTTGTTTTTTCCAATTCCTCTAATTGTGATTAGATTTTTAATTTGAGGTATTTATAACTTTTTAATGTGGGGGGTTTAACACTGCTTCAGCTGTGTCTCAGAAATTCTTGAAAGTTGCATCTTTGTTCTCATTAGTTTCAAAGAATTTCTTGATGTTTGCATTAATTTCATTGTTTACTCAAAATCATTTAACAGGTTGTTTAATTTGCAGTGTAATTGTATGGTGTTTAGCAATCTTCCTATTCTTGATTTAGACTTATTGTGCTATGATACAAGAGTGGGGTTGGTATAATGTTGTTTATAAAAAAAATTCTGAGAATAGCTTTTTGGCCAATCAAGGGGTCAATTTTAGATTATGTGCCATGTACAGATGAGAAAAAAATTATTTCTGTTGTTTTAGGGTGGAGAGTTCTATAGATATCTGTTAGGTCCATTTGTACTAGTGTCAAGTTCAGTTCCTGAATATCTTTTTTAGTTTTCTGCCTCAGTGATTTGTCTACCACTGTCAGTAGAGTGTTGAAGTCTCCCACTATTATTGTGTGGTTATCTAAGCCTCTTCATAGGTGTCTAGAAACTTGTTTTATGATTCTGGCTGCCCTTGTGTTTGGTGCATATATATTTTGGATAGTTACATCTTCTTGTTGAATTGAACTCTTTACTGTTATGTAATGGCCTTCTTTGTCGTTTTTATTGTTGTTGGTCCAAAGTCTGTTTTGTCTGAAATTAGAATAGTAAATCCTCTTTTTCTTTTCCATTTGCTTGGTAGATTTTTCTCTATCCCCTTACTTTGAGCCTATTAGTGTCATTGCATGTCAAATAGGTCCTTTAAAGACAGCTTACAGTTGGGTTTGGTTTTATTATCCAACTTGGCCCTCTGTTCCTTTTAATCAGGGCATTTAGCACATTTATTTCAGGATTAATATCAATATGTTTGAATTTGATCCTGTCACTATGTTGTTAGCTGGTTACTATGCAGACTCATTTGTGTAGTTGCTTTATAGTGTCAATGGTCTCTGTACTTAAGCGTGTTTTTGTGGTGGTTGGTAATAGGCTTTATTTTCCATATTTAGCACTCCCTTAAGGACTTCCTATAAGGCAGTTCTGGTGGTAACAAATTCCTTTAGCATTTTCTTATCTGAAAAGGATCTTATTTTTTGTTCACTTATGGATCTTAGTTCAGCTGGATATGAAATTTGTGGTTGAAATTTATTTTCTTTAAGAATTCTGAATATAGGCTGCTAATCTCTTCAGGCTTGAAGGTTTTCTGCTGAAATATACACTGTTAGCCTGATGGGGCTCCCTTTGTAGCAGACCTACACCTTCTCTATTGCTCCCTTTAATATATTTTCTTTCAATTCAAACTTGGAGAATGTAATGACTATGTGTCTTATAAATGGTCATCTTGTATAGTATCTCATAGGGCTTTGCTGTATTTCCTGAATTGGAATGTTGGCCTCTTTAGCGAGGTTGGGGAAATTTTCATAAACAATATCCTGAAATATGTTTTCTAAGTGGCTTACTTTCTGTTCCTCTCTTTCAGGGAAGCCAGTGAGTCATAGATTGGTCCCTTTACATAGTCCCATTTTTCCCAAATGTTTTGTTCATTCTTTGTTCTTGTTTTTTCTCTATTTGTGTCCGACTAATTTAATTCAGAAAACCAGTCTTCATGCTCCAAATTTCTTTGCTCATCTTAGTCTATTTTTCTGTTACTCCATATGACTGTATTATGAAATTCTTGAAGTGAGATTTTCAGCTCTATCAGATTAGTTTTTTCTTTTTTAATGGTCATTTTGTCCTTCAGCTCCTTATCATTTAATTGTATGCCTTAGATTCCTTGGATGGAGTTTGGACTTTCTTCTGAATATTGATGATTTTTATTTCTATCCATCTTCTAAATTTTATGTCTGTCATTTCAGCCATCTCAGCCTGGGTAAAAGCCATTGCAGGGGAAGAAGTGTGGTCTTTTGGAAGTAAGAAAACACCGGCTTTTTGAGTTGCCGGAGTTCTTGTGTGGGCTGTTTCTCATCTGTTTGGGCTTATATTTGTTCAATATTTGAAGTAGCTGCCCCTTGAATGGGTTTTTTTTCCTTTTATATTCTTTGATGCCTTTGGGAGTTTGATTGTGGTATTAATGTTACAGGTTGTTAGACAGGCAAGAGCAGATCACGAGGGGGCTCTCCCCCACCCACTAGGAATGTTGGATGATGTTTTGGCAATTATCACATTGCATCTCTAAAAGTGATAAACTGGCAGCTGACACCAAGGAGAGGCCATTTTCTGAGGTTCCATACCTGTTGCAATAAAGTGTTAATTGAATGCAAGCACCAGCAGACAACAACTTCCCTGGCATGTGCATTAAGAAACAAAATGGCAGAGTATGAACTTCTGGGCACTTCACCAGAAAAGGGAAGAAAAGCTTCAGATGGGCAAGCATACAACTTCCTAAACACACTGAGTGTGCTCACTTCCCAAGGGTAAGGAGGGCACTGCACATGTGGGCAGCCGACCCTTAGGGAAGAATCATGGGAATGGGGCCAGCCCATAAAATCCTAGCATCAGGGTTAAATGGGGAACTTGACCCAGTGTCTGCTTGAATCTCTTCCAAGCATACTTTTTTTCTTTCCTGTTCTAAAGCCTTTTAGAATGAACTTCCACTCCTGCTCTGAAACTTGCCTTGGTCTCTTTTTCTGCCTTATTCCCCTCAGTCAAATTCTTTCTTCTGAGGAGGTAAGAATTGAGGTTGCCGAAGACTCATATGGAATTGCCGCCAGTAACTCAGATACCTTCTATTGGTAACATAAGGTGGTTTCAGCTGAGTGGCTTCATTCCTGAAGTGTTTAGGGGGTTAAAGTTCAGCTCACTACTCATGGACTACATGCTACAACTCTGGGGGGCTGTTACCAGGTCCCCAAATTTGTTATCTGGCCCCTTGAAATTAGGAACCTGTTACACTGGAGGAGCCATTTGTTTCCAGTCAGCTGGCCACAACATTCCAATAGGTGGTGCTGGCCAAAGTGCTGCATCAGGGTTATGGCAGTAGAGTCCATGCTCGCTTGTGTATGTCAGCAACTGAAGTAGTGCAGCAAAGTGCACACTTATCAGCATTTTATTGAAAATAATGTTGTTCCTTTTGAAAATATTGTAAGTGGAATTATTTTATTAATTTTTATATGTTATTTCTTGTTAGCGTATATAAATACAAATGATTTTTGTGTGTTGATTTTGTGTCCTCCATCTTTGGTGAATGATGGCCCTGATGGGGTTTGGACTTGCATGGGGCATGTAGCCCCTTTCTTTTGTCTGATTTCTAGGAATGTTTACCCAGTGCTTATATCGCCATTGTGTCTTGGAAGTAAGTGACGACTTTTTTATTTTACAGGCATATATGTGGAAAGGACTTGCCTTGTTTCAGATGAGACGTTGGACTCTTGAGTTATTATTGGAATGAGTAAAAGCATTGGGGGATTATTGGGAAGATGTGATTGCATTTTGAAGTGTGAGAAGGACATGAGATAAGGGTGGGGCCAGGGGCAGAATAATATCATTTGGATATGTGTCCCCACCAAAATATCATGTTGCAATGTAATCCCCAATGTTAGAGGTGAAGCCTGGTGAGAGGTGATCGGATAATAAAGGAGGAATTTTTATGAATGGTTTATCATCATCACTTTGGTACAGTTCTCCTGATAATGAGTAATTTTTCATGAGATCTGGACATTTACAAGTCTGTAGTGTCTCCCCCGACTCTGTTGCTCTTACTCCCACAATGTGACATGCCTGCTCCTACTTTACCATCTGCCATGATAATAGGCTTCTTCAGGCATTCCCAGAAGCTGATGTCAGAGCTATGCTTCTTGAACAGCCTGTAGAACTGTGAGCCAACTGAACGTCTTTCTTGTTTAAATTACCCAGTCTTAGTTATTTCTCTGTAGGAATGCGATAATGATCTAATTCACTAGATCATTATTGTTATTGTTCAACTCCCACTTACGAGTGAGAACATGTGGTGTTTGGTTTTCTGCTGCTGTGTTAGCTTGTTGAGAATGACGGTTTCCAGCTTCACTCATGTCCCTGCAAAAGACATGAACTCATTCTCTTTTAAGGCTAGATAGTATTCCATGATGTATATGTGCCACATTTTCTTTATCCAGTCTATCATTGATGGGCATTTGGGTTTGTTCCAAGTCATTGCTATTGAAAATAGTGCTGCAATGAACACGGGTGCATGTATCTTTACAGTAGAAAGATTTATAATCCTTTTGCTATATACCCAGTAATGGAATTGTTGAGTCAAATGGTATTTCTGGTTCTAGATCCTGGAGGAATCAACACACTGTCTTCCACAATGGTTGAACTAATTTACACTCCCACCAACAATGTAAAAGCATTCCTATTTCTCCACAGCCTCACTAGCTTCTGTTGTTTCCCGACTTTTCAATGATGTCCATTCTAACTGGCGTGAGATGGTATCTCATTGTGGTTTTGATTTGCATTTCTCTAATAACCAGTGATATTGAGCTTTTTTCTTCATATGGTTTGTTGGCCACATAAATGTCTTTGTTTGGGTAGTGTCTGTTTTATACTACAAAGCTACAGTAACCAAAACAGCATGATACTTGTACCAAAACAGATATATAGACAAACGAAACAGAACAGAGACCTCAGAAATAACACCACCCATCTACATCCATCTGATCTTCAACAAACCTTACAAAAGCAAGCAATGGGGAAAGGATTCCCTGTTTAATAAATGCTGCTGGGAGAACTGGCTAGCCATAGGCAGAAAACAGAAACTGGATTCCTTCTTTACACCTTATACAAAAATTAACTCAAGATGGATTAAAGACTTAAAAATAAAACCCAAAACCATAAAAACCCTAGAAGAAAACCTAGGCAATACCATTCAGGACATAGGCATAGGCAAAGATTTCATGAATAAAACACCAAAAGCAATTGCAATGAAAGACAAAATTGACAAATGGGGTCTAATTAAACTAAAGAGCTTCTTCACAGCAAAAGAAACTATCATCAGAGTGAACAGGCAACCTACAGAATGGGAGAAAATTTTTGCAATCTATTTATTTGACCAATAGCTAATATCCCGAGTCTACAAAGAGCTTAAACAAATTTACAAGAAAAAAACAGACAACCCGATCAAAAAGTGGGTGAAGGATATGCTTTTGTTTTTTCAGAAGTTTTTGATTACTGATTCTGTCTCCTTATTACTGATATATCCATTCATATTTTCTATCCATTATTCAGTATTTGTGAGTTGTATGTTTCTGGGAATTTATCCATTTTATCTAAGTTATCTAACTTATTGGCATACAATTCTTCATTAAACTCTCTTATAATCCTACTTATTTTTTTCGTAGTAATGTCCCCACCTTAATTTCTTTTTTTTTTTTTTTGTAGAAACAGACACATTCATATTTGTACACATGTAGTTAATTTAGAACCTGGGACTTTTACAATCAATTCCCCAAACCCCTTTATGGAAAGTGATGGACTACACAGCAATGCTGAAGGAGCATATTTTCTCTCTCTAGGAAGAAGAGGATTAGTAGACACAATTGTGTGCATCAAGAGAAATTTGCAATAAAAAAATCAAAGTAAGACAAATGTCCCAGAAACCTGAATTTTATTGACACTGTTATTTTCCCACAGAGAATCTTAGAAAGCTGTCATATTTTCTCTTAATGAATGAGAGGAACCCACTTGTATCCCTGAATCATTCTTTGGGAAAAGCAACAGAAACAATTGACAGTCACACTTCTAAAATAAAACAGTCACTACCTTCAGTCCACACCTCCACACCCTTACCTGCCTGCCCAATGGCTGTCATTTCTGTAAAGTCACCCTCTTGTACTCTGGTGTTACCACGAGAATTGAAATTTTCAAGCAGAAAAAAAAAAAAAAATTCATGGTATAAATAAGTGACTGGTGGCCCAAAGGAAGTCCTTTGACTATGAATCCAATTTTCTGTTCAATCCACACTGCAGAGATACAAGCATAAACCACCATTTTGGTTCCCAAATTCTTTTCAAGAACTCATACAAAATATTCCAGAGAAATGAAATTTAATCCTCATCTTCCTCCTCTTCTTCATCCTGGTTAATTTGGAAGTAACGGAATTCATAACTCTCTTAGCAACTACGTGCAACCAATCACATAGATTATTCTTCTTCAAATATTTTTTGGTAAGATATTTCAAATACCTTTTGGAAAAAGGCACCTGGGATGTCACGGTGATATTTCTCTTGCTCCTTTCGATGGTCACTGCCCCTTACCAAGTTTCTCAGCTTTTCTGATCACTTTGATGCTTTCTTGCAAAAACTGCTCAAAATTGGCAGCATCCATGATTCCATCTTTTATGGGGTGGGTGCAATCAAGAGTGAATTTCAGAATCTGCTTCTTTTTTTTGCCCCCCTTCATCACAAGCTTTTTCACGGGTGCCATGGCAGTAGCGGAGGCAGAAAGTCAGATATCTCTTTAACATAATAATTTTCTTTCCTTTGGATGTATATCCAGTAGTGTGATTGCTGAGAACATACAGTGGTTTAATTTTTAGTTTTTTGGGGAACCTCCATACTGCTTTCCACAGTGTCTGTACTAATTTACATATACACAATTTACATATATATTTACATACACCAACAGTATGTAAGAATTCCCTTTATTCTTCATCCTCTCCAGAATTTATCTTAATTTCTAATTTTAGTTATGTGGTACCTCTCTTATTTCTCAGTCAATCTAGCTAAAGTTGTGTCAATTTTGTTTATCCTTGCAAAGAATCAATTTTTTCTTTCTGTCTTTCTTTCTTCTTTCTTTCTTTCTTTTTTCTTTCTTTTTTTTTTTTTTTTGAGATGGAGTCTCACTCTGGCACCCAGGATGGAGTGCTGTGGCGCGATCTCGGCTCACTGCAAGCTCCACCTCCCGGGGTTCACGCCATTCTCCTACCTCAGCCTCCTGAGTAGCTAGGACTACAGGCGCCTGCCACCACGCCCGGCTAATTTTTTTTTTGTATTTTTAGTAGAGACGGGGTTACACCGTGTTAGCCAGGATGGTCTTGATCTTCTGACCTCGTGATCCACCCACCTCTGCCTCCCAAAGTGCTGGCATTACAGGCGTGAGCCACCGCACCTGGCCCAATTTTTATTTTTATTGATTTTCTCTGTTGTTTATCTATTCTTATATTTATCTTCGTTCTCATCCATATTAATTTTTTCCATCAACCAAATTTGAGCTCGGTTTGCTTTTTTTCCAGTCCTTTATGTTGTAAAGTTAAATTATTTACTCTAGATACATTTTTTAAATAATGTAAGCATTTAAGCTATAAATTTTCCTCTTAGACCTTCTTTGACTGACTGTGTAAGTGTTGGGATGTTGTTTTAAAATTTTGTGAGTCTCAGTGTTTTTCCGATCAATTTTTAAATATTTTTTTCTTTAACCTATTTGTTTTGTAAAAAGGTGTTTCATTTCCACATACTTGTAAATTTTTTTAGTATTCCTTTTGTTATTTACTATTAGTTTCATTCCATTTTTATTAAAAATATATATTGCACGTTGGTGTTGTTTGTTTGTTTCTGAGACAGTCTTCCTCTTCACCAAGGCTGAGTGCAGAGGGGTGAACATGATTCACTGTAGCCTCATCCTCCTGTTCTCAAGTGGTTCTCCCACCTCAGCCTCCTGAGTAGCTGGGACTACAGGCATGCATCTTCATGCCCACCTAATCTATTTTCTTTTTGAAGAGATGGGATCTCACCATGTTGCCCTGACTCTTTTTAAACTCCTGGCCTCAAACAATCCTCCTGTCTCAGACTCTCAAAAGTCTGGGATTATAGGCATGAGCCTCCTTGCTCAGCCATATGTTTTTAATCTTTATTTGTACCAATTTTATGGCCTAATATATAGTCTACCCTGGTAAATGTTTCATGTACAGTTGAGAATGCTATGTATTGTGGTGCTGTTTTTTGGGTAGAGTGTCCTCTGTATTTCTTTTAGTTGCAGGTGGTTTATAGTTTTGTTCAAGTTCACAGTATTCTCACTGATTATATTGATTAATTTTATGTGTTAACTTTGCTGGGTAACTGCCCAGCACATGGTCAAATATCATTCTGAATGTTTCTATGAAGGTGAGTTCTTTTTGGATTAGATTAACATTTAAATTTGAGGATTTTGAGTAAAGCAGATTACCCTCTATAATGAGGGTGGGCCTCATATAATCAAGAGAAGCTCTCAATAAAAATAGAATAATTTATCCTGGGGAAAAAAAATCCTTCCAGTAGACTGCCTTTAGTTTCAGATTGCAATTATTTCTCAGGGTGATCAGCTAGCTACCTGGTGCCAGGTTTATTTCATTGAACTGCTTTCATCATGGAAGACAGTATTTTGTTGTTGCTAAAATATACACTTACTGCGGATATAAATTTGCCTTCCTTTTATGCACAGCATTGAGACTATGGTCATAGGATTCAGTGGTCTTGCCATGTTTTCTCCACCAGAATTATGGAGCTGGCCAACAGAACCATGAAATGGTCTTTTGAAGACTCTGTGACAGTGCAATCTAAGTGGTAAATACCATGTAGCGCTGGGGCACATTTCTTCAGAAAGTTGTGTATGATCTAAAACAGCATCCAGTATATTGTAATGCTCCTCCCATACCCAGGATTCACAGGTCCAGGAATCAACAAGTTGAAATGGGAATGGCAAAACTATTACCGCTAGTGACTCACTTGTAACAATTTTTTTTCTATAATATTACAGGTCTTAATTACAAAGGGATGGATACTTTTACTAGAAGACACAAGAATTCCATTGAATTGGAAGTTAAGATTGCTCCTCAGCCACTTTGAGCTCCTCATTACTCTGAATTGTGAAGAAGAGACTATTAATAGCCCAGACACTTCTGGAATGAAACTTTGTGTCAGTCCCCAGGTGAAAAACTACAACCAGCTGAAGTATTTTCTAAGAGCAAAGGAAATACAGTATGTATAGTTATGAGTACCAGATATGACTGCATGACAAGTTATAGAAAAGGTGATTGTAGTTGTCTTATTTTGTTTTGTTATGAATATGTGTATAAATAATTCTTTGTTTTCTTCTATGCTTTTATCATGTAACATAATATATATTTACATTATATCATGGTTTTACATATTGTTTACTTTACATCATATTATTTCAGTTATGGGATATCAAGAAGAAGAGTAAACATTTTCCAAAGATTTTGCATTCTCTTCTGAGAAAGGAGTTAGTACATTTTCAGTTATATGCGGATAGTTGTATTATATTTGGCAGGAGTATGGTCTTCTAATTTTCTTTATTAAGAGTTTAGGTATGGTGTACAGAGATGTGTATAGATGGCAGTTTGACAAGGGGAGGACTTGTAATGTTTACTTTTTTGTGTCAACGTTGTTGGGCCACAGTGCCCAGGTATTTGATCAAACATTATTCTGGATGTTTCTTTGAATGCGTTTTATGGATGAGATTAACATTTAAATCAGTAGACTTGAGTAAAGCAGATTACCCTCTATTGTGGCCGAGAATCATCAATTAATGGAAGGATTTAATTAAATGAAACAGACATCTCACAAGGAAGAAGGAATTCTGCCAGTAAACTGCCTTTGTACATGGACTACAACTTTTTCCTGGGTCACCAGTCCGCCAGACTACTCTTAATATATTAAACTTGCACCTCTGCAATCATATGACTGATTTCAGAAAGAAATCCCTTTGTATTTGCCTATCAATCTATCTATTCCTTTATTGACTATCTATCTAGAGAAATTTTATACACACATACACACACACACACACACAAACAATTGGCCTTCTATGTCTGTGGCTTCTGCATCTATTAATCCAACCAACTGTGAATCACAAATATTCAAGAAAAAAAATAATCACTAAGAAAACAATAAGAAAAATAATATGGCCAGGCGTGGTGGCTCACACCTGCAATCCTGGCACTTTGGGAGGCCGAGGCAGGTGGATCAAGAGGTCAGGAGTTGGAGACCAGCCTGACCAACATAGTGAAACACCATCTCTACTAAAAATACGAAAAATTAACTGAGCGTGGTGGCGGGCACCTGTAATCCCAGCTACTCAGGAGGCTGAGGCAGGAGAATGGCTTGAACCCAGGAGGCAGAGGTTGCAGTGAGCCAAGATCACACCTTTGCACTCCAGCCTGGGTGACAGAGTGAGACTCCGTCTCAAAAAAAAAAGAAAGAAAAAAGAAAAATAATATAAAATACAGTATAACAACTATTTACATAGCACTTACATTGTTTTAGGTATTATAAGTAATCTAGAGATTTAAAGTATATAGGAGGATGTGCATAGGTTATAGACAAATACTATGTCATGTCATACAAGGGACCTGAGCATCTGTGAAGTTTGGTATCTATGGGAGTGTATTAGTCTGTTTTCATGCTGCTGATAAAGACATAACTGAGACTGGGCAATTTACAAAGGAAAGAGGTTTAATGGAGAACTCACAGTTCCTCGTGGCTGTGGAGGCCTCATAATCATGGTGGAAGGCAAGGAGGAACAAGTCACATCTTATAGGGATGTCAGCAGGCAAAGAGACATTTTTGCGGAGAAATTCCCATTTTTAAAACCATCAGATTTTGTGAGACCCATTCACTATCATGAAAACAGCATGGGAAAGACCCGCCACTGTGAATCAGTTATCTCCCACCAGGTCCCTCCCACAACACATGGGAATTATGGGAGCTACAAGATGAGATTTGAGTGGGAACAAGGAGCCAAATCATACAAGGGGTTCCTAGAAAAAATCCCCTACAGTTACCTAGGAATGACTGTGTAGAAAGAAAAAGATAAGTCTACAGATCAATCTCCACAGAGATATCTATATCTATATGTCTCTCTATATAGATACATAGATAAAGGTATTTATATATGTATGTGTATAAGTTCGTGCTCACGCTGCTGATAAAAAACATACCCGAGACTGGGCAATTTACAAAAGAAAGGATTAATTGGATTCACAGTTCCAAGTGGCTGGGGAGGCCTCACAATCATGGCAGAAGGCAAGAAGAAGCAAGTCACATCTTATGTGGATGGTGGCAGGCAAAGAGAGAGCTTGTGCAGAGAAAATCCCATTTTTAAAACCATCAGATCTTGTGAGACTCATTCATTATCATGAGAACAACACAGGTAAGGCCATTCCCCATAATTCAATCACCTCCCACTAGGTACCTCCCGTGACATATGGAAATTGTGGGAGTTACAATTCAAGATGAGATTTGGGTGGTGACACAACCAAACCATATCATCCTGCTCCTGGCCCCTCCCAAATCTTATGTCCTTACATTTCAAAATCAATCATTTCTTCCCCACAGTCCCACAAAGTCTTGACTCATTTCAGCATTAACTCAAAAGTCCACAGTCTAACGTCTCATCTGAGACAAAGCATGTCCCTTCTGCCTATGAGCCTGTAAAATCAAAAGTAAGTTAATTACTTCCTAGGTACAATGGAGCTACAGACATTGGGTAAATACAGCTGTTTCAAATATGAGAAATTGGTCAAAACAAAGGAGCTACAGGCCTCATGCAAGTCCAAAATCCAGTGGGGCAGTCAAATCTTAAAGCTCAGAAATTATCTCCTTTGACTCCATGTCTCACATCCAGGTCTTGCTGATGCAAGAGGTGGGTTCCCATGGTTTTGGATAGCTTTGCCTCTGTGGTTTTGGTGGGTACAGCCTGCCTCCCTGAAGCTTTCACGGGCTGGTGTTGTCTGTGGCTTTTCTAGGCACATGATGCAAGTTGTCAGTGGATCTATCATTGTGGGATCTGGAGAATGGTAGCCCTTTTCTCACAGCCCCACTAGGCAGTGCCCCAGTAGGGACTCTGTGTGGGGCTCCAATCCCACATTTCCCTTCTCCAGTGCCCTAGCAGATGTTCTCCATGAGAACCCTGCCTTTGCAGCAGACTTCTGCCTGGATATCCAGGCATTTTCTGAAGTCCAGGCATTTTCATACATCCTCTGAAATCTAGGTAGAGGTCCTCTAAACCTAATTCTTGACTTCTGTGCACTGTTAGGCTTAATGCCACATGGAAACTGCCAAGGCTTGAGGCTTCCACCCTCTGAAGCTGTGGCCCGAGCTCTATGTTGGCCCCTTTCTGCCCCAACTAGAGGGGCTGTGATGCAGGGCACCAAGTCCCTAGGCTGCACACAACCCAGGGGCCCTGGGCCTGGCCCACAAAACCACTTTTTCCTCCTGGGCCTCCAGGCCTGTGATGGGATGGGCTGCCATGAAGGCCTCTGACATGCCCTGGAGACATTTTCCCCATTGTCTTGGAGATTAAAATTAAGCTCCTTGTTACTTATGCAAATTTCTGCAGCTAGCTTCAATTCCTGCTCAGAAAATGGGATTTTCCTTTCAATCACATTGTCCAGCTGCAAATTTTCCAAGCATTTATGCTTGCTTCCCTTATAAAACTGAATGCCTTTAGCAGCACCCAAGTCACATCTTGAATGCTTTGCTGCTTAGAAATTTCTTCTGCCAGATACCATAAATCATCTCCCTTAAGTTAAAAGTTCCACAATTCTCTAGGACAGGGGCAAGTGTCACCAGTCTCTTTGCTAAAACATAACAAGTCACATTTGCTCCAGTTCCCAACAAGTTCCTAATTTCCATATGAGACTACCTAAACCTGGACTTTATTGTCCATATTTCTATCAGCAATTTGGGCAAAGCTATTTAACAAGTCTCTAGGAAGTTCCAAACTTTCCCACATTTTTCTGTCTTCTGAGCCCTCTGAACTGTTGCAACCTCTGCCTGTTACCCAGTTCCAAAGTCGCTTCCACATTTTCAACAACTCCCCACTCTACTGGAACCAATTCACTGTATTAGTCTGTTTTCATGCTGCTGGTAAAGGGATAACCAAAACTAGGCAATTTACAAAAAAAAAAAAAAAAGCTTAAGCTTAATTGGACTCACAGTTCCACATGGCTAGGGAGGCCTCACAATCTGGAACAAGGCAAGAAGGAGCAAGTTACATCTTATTTGGATAGTGGCAGGCAAAGCAAGATTTTGTGCAGAGAAACTCCCATTTTTAAAACCATCAGACCTCATGAGACTCATTCACTACCACAAGAACAGTGCAGCAAAGACCTGCCCCCATAATTCAATTACCTTCCACCAGGGTCCTTTCATGACATTTGGGAAATGTGCGAATTACAATTCAAGATGAGATTTGGGTGGTGCCACACCCAAACCATATCATTATGTGTGTATGTATGTGTACAAACACATACATCTACGTAGTTAATTCTGTTTATCTAGAGAATACCATAGTGTATTATTCAGTACTAGTACACTGTTCTTTTTTTGTGGTTGTGTATCCATTATTAAGAGTGGAGTATTAAAGTTGCCAACTGCTATTTTAGAACCCCTTTTCCATTTTCAATTATGTCAATATTTGCTTCATATTTCAGAGCGCTATTGCTTGGTGCAAATATGTTCATAATCATTATATATTTTGAGAAGTTAGTCTTTTATCAATGTATAATGTTCCTCTTTGTCTCTTGTAGTAATTTTTTACTTAAAGACTATTTTGTCTCTTATTGGTGTAGCCAGTCCAACTCTCTTTTGTTCAGTATTTACATAAAATACATTTTTATTCTTTTCACTGTCAATCTGTTTGTGTTCTAGGAAAGTTCAGCATTTGTAGATTGCATATATTTGAATCATGTATTTTAATCTATTTTTCCACTTTATGCCATTTGATTGGGAAGTTTAATTTGTATGATTTTTTATTTCTATTATTTTAGATATGGGGTCTTTCTATGTTTCTCACGCTGGTTTTGAACTCCTCTCCTTTAACCATCCTCCTGCCTTGGCCTCTCAAAGCACTGAGATTAAAGTCATGAGCCTCCATGACTGGACATTCCTTTGCATTGGAGTAATTACTAATAAGGGAAAAAATAGGGTTTTTTTTCATTTTGTTAATAGGGTTTATTTTCATTTTGTTAATTTTTTAAATATATTTTATAGATTTTTCCATTGTTTCCTCCATTACTTCGTTTTGTGTTTAATGGATTCTTTGAAGTTATAAATGTTTACACCCTTTTTATTTTATTTCTTGTATTCAATATTTTATTTGGGGTTCCCATGAAGATTACATGTAGCATCCCCAAATTATAATAATCTAATTTGAATTTATACCAATTTACCTTCAGTCACATACTAATAGAACTTATAACTATACTGTTTTACTCACCTTCCCTGTTATGTTATTTGTGTTACAAGTTACATCTTTATTTATTATGTGCCTAATAGCATAGATTTATAATTATATTTTATGCATTTGTCTTTTCAAAACCATGGAAAATTTAAAGCAGAGTCTTAAAACCAAAATTACAATAATAATAGCTTTTATATATGTCTATGTATTTACATTTACAGAAATTCTTTATATTTTTATATGCCTTTGAGTTACTACATACAGTTCTTACATTTCAATCTGAAGGCATTTCTTTATATTTATATTTCTATGAGCAGATAATAGTTGTATGAAGGAATTGCCTTAGCATTTTTATAAAGATAGTCTACTGAAAATGATTCCTTCAGCTTTTGTTTATCTGTAAATGTCTTACGTCCTCCCTTATTTTTTGCAGGAGAGTCTTGACATATATAATTCCAAGTTGACAGGGTTTTTTTTTCTAAAAATTTCTTTCCGTGCATTAAACAGATCACCCCACTACTTTCTGGCCTCCAAGGTTTCTAATGAGAAATTAGTATTAAGACCATTAAATGGAGGAAAGAACAGTCTCTTCAGCAAATGGTGACAGGAAAAATGAATATGTACGTGTAGGAGAATAAACGTGAACTTTTACCTCATACTTTATAGAAAAATTAAATCAAAATAAATCAAATAACAAAACTTAAGGAATAAATCATAAAAATGTTTCAAATAAAACATAGAGTTAAATCTTCATTACCTTGGAGTTGCAATAGATTCTTAGCTATAACACCAAAAGCACAAGCTACAAAAAATAGATACATTGGACTCCATCAAAACTGAAAATTTTGTTCATCAAAGGACATTATTAAGAAAGTGAAAAGACAACTTAAGTTATGAGTCAAAAGATCTGCAAATGATACACTTGATAAAGTTTTAGTGTATAGAGTATAAAAATAAGATAACTCATTTACATTATGAGAAAATGGTTTGGATAAACATTTCTCTAAAGAAGGCATACAAATGATCAACATACACATAAAAAGATGCTTAACATAATTAGTCATTGGGGATACACAGATCAAAATTACAATGCGATGCCACTACTCACAAAATAGGATAACTATTTTCTTTAATAATGTGAATCAAGTGGAACTCTCATACATTAGTGGTGAAAATGGACAATGGTGCAGCTACTGTGGAAAACAGTTTAATGGTTTCTCAAAAAAAAAAAAAACCCAAATTATAACATGATTCAGCCATTACACCACTAGTTATATACTCAAAAGTATTGAAGAGTGACTCACACACATATGTGTATGCCAATATTTGTTGTAGTGTTATTTATGATAGCCAAATCTTGAAACAAACTAAGTGCTTTTCAAGAGATGAATGGATAAACAAAATTACACACACACGCATGCACACACACACAATCATTCAGCCATAAAATTTAATCAGTTCTTATTCATACTATGATGTGGATGAACATTAAACCATTACACTAAGTGAAACAAGACAGACATAAAAAAACTATTGTATGATTCCACTTATATGATATATATAAAACAGGCAAATTTATAAAGGGAAAATTTCATTAGCTGTTACCAGGGGTGAGAAAGAAGGGAGATCTGAAAAATTATTTTTAATGGGTACATAGTTTCTGCTTGGGAGTAATGAAAATGTTTTGCAAATAGATAGTGGTTATGATTGTACAACATTGCCAATGTGATTAATACTACTGAATCTTACATGTAAAATTGTATGATTTATGTTTTATGTATTCTATAACAATTAAAAAATATTTTCAGCTGTGAACCTTTATTGTTTCACCTTTCTTTTTTTGCTTTTTACTTAATTTCTTTTATCTCACTCTATCTCAACCTCTCTTTGTACATATACTCTTTACTGATTTTCAAATTTTTTTCACTAGGTCAGAAAAATTTTTTGCATAAAGTAAGTTGTTTGGCATTTTACAGTACAAATATAACTTTAGCAATAATAATCATTTATATAATACATAAAATACTAGAAACTCTACTAAATGCTCTCTATATATTATTCTATTTAATCTTCTATGACTATTAGGAGGCAGGTAGCATTATTATGACCAATATAGAAATGAGAAATTATAGCACAGAGAAGTTAATTCAATTTTACAAGATCACACAGCTAGTCACTGGTGGGATGATATTCAAACAGATATATTGAAGTTTCAGAGTTTCTGCTTTTTTTTTCTTCTATTGATACACAAAGGTATGTGTGTATATATATATATAAGATCTTATATATATACTATATATATAATATATATAAGATCGTGTATATATAAGATCTTTTATATATACTATATATTATATATAAGATCTTATATATACTATAGATCATATATAATATAATAAAGTATATATAGTATATATATAAGATCTTATATATACTATATCTGTACTATATATACTACATATGATATATCTATACTATATATACTATATATAGTATATATAGTATATATAGCATATCTATACTCTGTATAGTATATCTATACCATATACACTATATATACTCTGTATAGTATATCTATACCATATACACTATATATGATCTATATAGTATGTCTATACCATCTACACTATATATACTCTATATAGTATATCTATACCGTATACACTATATATACTCTATATAGTATGTCTATACCGTATACACTATATATACTCTATATAGTGTGTCTATACCATATACACTATATATACTCTATATAGTATGTCTATACCATATACACTATATATAATCTATATAGTGTGTCTATACCATATACATTATATATACTCTACATAGTATGTCTATACCATATACACTATATATACTCTATATAGTATGTCTATGCCATATACACTATATATACTCTATATAGTATATCTATACCATATACACTATATATACTCTAATAGTATATCTATACCATATACACTATATATACTATAGATTATATATAGTATATATACTATCTATTGCATATATGCTATAGATATACTATCTATAGTATATCTATAGTATATATGGTATAGATATATTTTGTATTTTTTATGCATTTGGTAGACTCTTAACCAGTGATTCCATCTGATCTTAGAATTTTCTTTGTTGGATGACATTTTATTAATGACATAATTCCACTATTTGTTATTGGTCTGTTTTAGTCCATTCTCACACTACTATGAAGAATTACCCAAGACTGGGTAATTTATTGAAAATAAGAGGTTTAATTAACTCACAGTTCTGCAGGCTTATCAGGAAGCATGACAGAGAGGCCTCAAGAAACTTACAATCACAGCAGAAGGTGAAGGAGAAGCATGCAACTTTTTCACAGGGAGGCAGCAGAGTAAGAGAGGGAGGGGGAAGTGCCACACACTTTTAAACCATATTTTATGAGCACTTACTCAGTATTATGAGAACAGCAAGGGAGAAACCCACTCCCATGATGAAGTCACCACCCACTAGGGCTCTTCCCCAAAATTTGGAATTAAAATTCCACATGAGATATGGGTAGGGACAGAGAGCCAACCATATTATTCCACCCCTGGCCCCTTCCAAATCTCATGTTCTTTTCACATGTCAAAGCACAATCATGCCTTCCCAACAGTCCTCTGAATTCTTAACTCATTCCTGCATTAAGACAAAAGTCTAAGTCCAAAGTCTTATCTGAGGCAAGGCAAGTCTCTTCCACCTATGAGCTTGTAATTTCAAAAACAAATTAGTTACTTCCAAGATACAATTGGGATACAGGCATTGGGCTAAATGTTCCCATTCCAAATTAGAGAAATTGGTGAAAACAAAGGGGATACTGGCCCCATGCAAGTCTGAAACACAGCAGGGAAGCCATCAAATTGTAAAGCTTCAAAATGATCTCCTGACTCCCTGTCTCACATCTAGGCCACACGGACTCAATGGATGGTCTCCCAAAACCTTAGGCAGCTCTGCTCCCGTGGCTCTGAAGGGTACAGCTCCCATGGCTGCTTTCACAGGCTGGCATTGAGTGCTTGTGGCTTTTTCAGGCACAGAGTGCAAACTGCCAGTATATCTACCATTCTGGGGTCTGGAGGACCATGGCCCTCTTCTTGCAGCTCCATTAAGCAGTGCCCCAGTGAGGACTCTGTGTGGGGCTCCAACCCCACATTTCTCCTCTGCATTGCCATAATGAAGGTTCTCCATGAAGATTCCACCCCTGCAGCAGACTTCTGCCTAGACATCCAGGCATTTTCATACATACTCTGAAATCTAGGCAAAGGCTCCCAAACTTTTACCTTCTGTGCACCTGCAGACACAACAATACATGGGAGCTGCAAAGGCTTGGGGCTTTCACCCTCTAAAGCAACTGCCTGAGCTGTACCTTGTCCCCTTTTAGGCAATGCAAAAGCTTGAGCAGCTGGGACAGAGGACACCCTGTGCCGAGGCTGCACAGAGCAACGGGACCCTAGGCCTGACCCAGGAAACCATGTATTCCTCCTAGGTCTCCAGGCCTGTGATGGGAGGGGAAGTCTGCAAAGATCTCTGAAATGCCCTGAAGCCATTTCATCATTATTTTGGCTATTAGCATTTGGCTCCTTGTTAGTTATCCAAGTCTATGAAGCCAGCTTGAATTTCTCCCCAGAAAAAAAGAGAGTATATATTTTCTACTGCATGGTCAGGCTGCAAATTTTTCAAACTTTCAGGCTGTGCTTCCCTTTTAAATATAAGCTCAAATTTCATACCATCTTTTTCTTCATGCATATGAGCATACACTTTTAGAAACAGCCAAGTCGTTCATGAATGCTTTGCTGCTTAGAAAGTTCTTCCACCAGATGCCCTAAGTCATCTCTCTCAAGTTCAAAGATTCACAGATATTTCGACCAGGGACAAAATGCTGCAAGTCTCTTTGGCGAAGCATAGCAAAAGTGACCTTTACTCCAATTCCTAATAAATTCCTCATCTTTATCTGAGACTACTTCAGCCTGGACTTCACTGTCCATATCACTATCAGCAATTTGGTTACAACCATTTGACAAGTCTCTATGATGTTTCAAACATTAGCACAACTTCCTGTCTTCTTCTGAGGCCTCAAAACTGTTCCATCCTCTGCTGACAACCCAGTTCTAAAGTCACTTCCACGTTTTGGGGTATCTTTATAGCAGCACCCCACTGTCTGTGGTGACAAATTTCTGTATTAGTCCGTTCTCACACTGCTATAAAAAACTACCCGAGACTGGGTAATTTATAAAGAAAAGAGCTTTAATTGGCTCACAGTTCAGCGGGCTTAACAGGAAACATGACTGGGAAGCCTCAGGAAACTTACAATCATGGCAGAAGGTGAAGGGAAAGCAAGTACCTTCTTCCTAGGATGGCAGGAGAGAGAGAGAGAGAGAGAGAGAGAGAGAGAGAGAGAGAAAGTGCCACAAACTTTTAAACTGTCAGATCTTGTGAGAACTCACTCACTATCAAGAGCAAGGGAGAAATGCATTCCCATGATCCAACCTCCTCCCATGATGTTTCTTCCCCAAAATTTGGAATAAAAATTCCACATGAGATATGGGTGGGGACACAGAACCAAACCATATCATGGTTTGTCCAGATTTTATATTTCTTCCTGATTCAGTGTTGGTTGGTTATATCTTTCCAGGAATCAATTGATTTTCTTTAAGTTTTTCAGTTTATATCATATAGCTATTGATAACACTCTCCATTGACCTTTTGCATTCCTGTGGCAGTGTTGTTACAACTGTGTTTGCATTTATAATTTTATTTGGGTTTTCTCTTTTCTTTCCTCGGTTAGTCTAGCTCGTGGTTTTATCAATTTTGTTTATGTTTCTGAATAATTGACTTTTTATTTCATTCATCCTTTGTATATTTTTAAACTTACTATTTCTTTTCATATACTAATTTTGAGTTTGGTTTGCTCTTGATTTTCTAATTTATAGAGATACATTGTTAAATTGTTTATTTGAATTTTTTATGTAGGTGTTTACTTCTATAATCTTTTCTCTTAGCACTGTTTTTGCTGTATCTCACAGGTTTCAATATGTTGTGTTTCTATTTTCATTTGTTTCGAGAATTTTTCTTTTATTTCCACATTATTTATTGATCCAATATTCACTCAGAAACATGTTATTTTATTTCCACATATGTGTACAGTTTCCAAAGTTTCTCTCCTATTGATTTCTAGTTTTATTTCATCGTGGTTTGGGAAAATACTTGATATGATTTTGTTTATTTTAGAATTTTTTGAGGCCTATTTTGGGTCCTAACATATAGTCTGTCCTAACATATAGGATATTCCATGTGCTGATGAGAATAACATGTAATCTTCTGTTATTGGAGAAAATGTTCTGTAAATGTCTGTTATGTCCATGTGATCTCAGATCCCTTTCAAATCTAATGTTTCTTTTTTATTGTTCCTCTAGATTTTCTGTCTATGCTGAGAATCTCTTATTGAAGTCTTGCTATTACTGTATTAAAGGCTCTCTCTCTTGATATCAAATAACATTTGCTTTATGAATCTGAGCACTCAATTATTGAATTCATGTGTCTTTAGTATTGCTATATATAGCTATTCCTGTTAGCTCTTGGTTTCCATTTTGGTGGAATATAGTTTTCCACCTTTTTACTCTCGGTCTATTATGTTTCTTTACCGGTAAAGTGTATTTCTTGTATGCAGCATATAATTGGATCATTTCTTTGTCCATTCAGCCATATATATATTCTTTTGAGATGGAGTCTCACTCTGTTGCCCAGGCTGTAGTGCAGTGGTATGATCTCGGCTCACTGCAGCCTTCACCTCCTGGGTTCAAGCAATTCTCCTGCCTCAGGTTCCTGAGTAGCTGGGATTACAGGCACCCACCACCATACCTAGCTGAATTTTGTATTTCTAGTAGAGACAGGGTTTCACCATGTTGGCCAGGCTAGTCTCGAACTCCAAACCTCAAGTGGTCCATCCACCTCAGCCTCTCAGTGTTAGAATTACAGGTGTGAGCCACTGCACCTGGCCAGTCTATATCTTCTAAGTGGAGAATTTAATTAATTTACATTCAAGGTTATTATTGTTTCGTGAGGATTTTTCCTTGTCATATTATTAATTGGTTTTTTTTGCTGTTTTGTACATTCTTTGTTCCTTTCTTTGTCACTTATTGTTTGTTATTGTGGTTTTGCAGGTTTATATAGTGGTACCATTTGTGTCTGTTCTCTTTCTCATTTGTGTGTTTGTGTCACCAGTGAGTTCAGATTTCCATGTGTTATCATTACAATAACTGTGGTACTTTCTCTTTCATTTAGGAAGGACAATATTGCTAGACGTAGTATCCTTGGGTGAAAATTTTGTTTACTTTTTTCTTATCACTTTGAATATATCATCCCATTCTCTCCTGACCTATATGGTTTTTGCTGAGAAATCCACTGTTAGTCTGATGGGAGTTCTTTTATAGGTGAAACATTTTCTTGTCTTGTTAAGAATTCTCTCTTGTTTTTAACTTTAGATAGTTTGACTATGGTATGCTGTGGAGAAGACCATTTTGTATTGTGTCTGTTTGGGGATCACTAAACCTCCTGTATCTGGATTTCCAAATCTCTTGCTAGACTTCAAAACTTTTTGTCTATTATTTTGTTAAATAGGTTTTCAAACACCTTTTTTCTTCTCTCACTTTTTTGCATACCAATAAATTGCAGAATTGGCCATGTTACGATGCCCCATATATCACAAAGGCTTTAATCATTCTTTTTCATTGAAAAAGAATAATTTTGGTCTGACTGGGTTATCTCATAGGACCCGTCCTCAAGTTGTGAGCTTTTTTTTCTTCTTTATCTAGTTTATTGTTGAAGCTTTAGAATAAATTTTGTATTTTATTCAGTGAATTCTTCAGTTCCCAAATTTTCATTTGAAAAATGATGTTTATCTCTTTGGTAAATTTCCCATTAATATTCTAAATTGTCTTTCTGATTTGTTTGTATCGTTTTTTGGAATTCTTTTGTGTCTCACTGAATTTCTTTACTACCAAAATTTTCCAGAATTTTTAAATTTTTTATTGGGATCTCTTGCTGGAGAATTGTTGTGCTCCTTTTAAGGTGTCATTTTTTGTTTGTCACATTTTCTATGTTCTTTTATTGATTTCTACACATTTTTTGTGGTAGTCACTTCTCCCAATTTTTTGAATTTGCTTTCATACCTGAGGAATTTTTCCTGAATATGTGTCAGTGGTTTTGGTTGGGTAGAGTTCTTTGGCTTTTATTCTGGGTGTGTGCAGTATTGTAGTCTCTGTATGATTTATTTGCCTCTAAACAGCATCAGTGCTATCTGTAATTTCTTCAGTGGTTTAGGGTGTAGTTATTAATAAATGTGGTAGTAAAGTTTTGTCCAGGACACGGATCCTAGGTGGGCCAATCTTCAGGTTCCAGTGGTGGTGGCAGAGGACTAAACATCTCTGTTCTTGAGCCCAAGGATGGCATATACTGGCACTTTTTTAGTGGGTTCAGGTGGGTAAATTCCTGGGCCTCCAGGTGTCTTGCTTGAGTGCTGGTAGTGACAGCTGTGTTCTTGGCAGGTGGGTTCTCAGGCTTCTGAGCAGTTGTGGCATGAACAATGGCAATACCAGGGCAGGATGATACTCTTGGTCCCAAGCAGTGCATACTTATGTTCATGATAGCTTTGATGGGCTGGGAAGACTGATCTCTAGGCTCCTAGGTGACTTGTGTGGGTTGGTGCTGTTGGTATGTTGCTGGCAGGCTGGATGTGTCTGTTTTCACTTTCTCAGGGGGAGTACACATAAGCCAGAGGTAGTGAAATGGGCAGAGAAATCCCCAGGTACTCAATCATGCTCAGGTACTGAGGTGGTGGTGTCAGGCTTGGCAAGTCTCACCTCAGGCCGCTTGTGGTGTGCAGGGGCATAGGCATAAGTTGTAGTAGGTAGAACATGGTGATCTGTAGTAGTGGGTGTGGATAATATGACCTCAGGATTCATGCTAAAAGACAGTGGTTCTACTCTTGGTGTTTGTGTGGTTGCTATCAGAAATCCCCTGCAGACAGCTCTCAGACTCTGGGGAGTGCACACTTTTTCTCTGCAAGCAGCAGTAGCCACAGTGGTGTGTGTGAGGATCCTGTATTCAGGACACATACTAGAATACAGGGGCCTTGCTTCTGGCATGGGTATGGTTGGCACTCAGAGCCCCAAACAGGATGCTTTCAGGTTCTGTGTAGCACTTGCTTCGGTTTCTAGCTGCACGATGACTGCAAGGTTGTGCAGAGAGACAAAGGAAATCCTGCCTTCTGTGTTTGGGCCTGAAAACAGAGACCTTGCCGCCAGGGAGATTGTTACCGTTCACAGCCCTGGACATGCAGCTGTCAGATGTGGAGCATGAGTGACAGCACTGCACAGGAGGGTAGGGACCTCATCTTCTACACATGAGTTGGAGTGCAGTTGCCACTCATAGCTCCAGACAGGCAGCCTTCCGACTCACTCACTCCAGCTCCCAGTGGCAGCAACAGGGCTGCTGTGGCTGTGGCAGTGTGCAGAGCAGGGAAGCAGCTTATCTTTTTCCATATAAGCCCAAGAACAGAGGCTGTTATGCCAGTGGGGTTGGGGTTGCTGATCCCAGGCTCAGACAGTCAGCTCTCAGGCTTGCCTGCCTATGCTCCCTATGGCAGTAACTGCTGCAGCCATATGCGGAATGGGGAAGGTATTCTACTCACCTATTACAAGCCTGGGCACAGAGTTTGTGGCATTTCAGGGAGCAGGGTTGCTTCTGAAAAGCACATGCTCTGGTTTCCTTTGTTCCAGTGGCCACCTCCTTGCTGCACTGCACTGTCCTTTCCATGGATATTAGTACTCCCTGTGTGGTAGAGTAGTCAATACTCTGCAGCACTTTTGGGTCCAGCCAGGACTGTGCCATTGTAGCCCTCCAGGTTCACACTGGGTGGTGTCAGTGGGAGCTCTTGAAATGTGGAGATAAGGAAGCTGTGGTTTCCAGGGAAGGATGCAGTCCCATGATGGCTGTGCTTTTACGATGGCACAATGTTGCAACCGCTTATGTCTCACAGGGAGTGTGCAAGCTAGAATGTATTCCTCGTCTGGTGCAATTTCCTTGTGGAGACTTCAGATCACTACCCATGGTAGTGTTTGTGTCAGTACAAGAACCCTCTCATGATTAGAATTGCAGCAGTCCATGGTCAGATTATGGACCACTGAAGGTCTCTTCACTTCCCCTTTTCCCGCAGTAGGGAATCTCTTAAGGCTCCTGTTAATCTTGGACAAGCTGGTCACTCACTTTCTTCTCCCTCTGTTCATCAGGTATTTCCGGTGGTTTCTCTTTTGTACAGCAATGTTCTCTCTTAGATTTTCTATTCACGGTGTGATTATTCATAGTTTTGATTCTTCTTTCTGGAAAGGGCAAGTGTCGAATGTCTCTAGTCTGCATATTCAACCTATCTCCTCAGTTTATGCTCTTTTTAAAATATTATTTTCATTAAAGGATAACTGAAAAATAAAATTTTTATATATCTATAGTGTGCTATGTGAAGTTTTGATATATGTATACGTTGTGATATGATGAGATAGACTAATTAACATATCCATTAACTCATTTTTACTTATCATTTTTTTTGTGGTGAGAACATTTAAGGTCTAAACTCTTAGCAATTTTCAAGCATACAATATAATCTTATTAATTGTAATCACCATGCTGTATATTACATCTCCAGAACATATTAATTCTGTCTAACTGAAACTTTGTATCTTTTAACCAATGTCTCTCAATTCCCCAGAGACTGGGGTGGGGTAGTAATACAGCCTCAACCTCCAGCAACCACCACTATTCTTTCTGCTTTTATGAGTTTGACTTTCTTGATTCCACATATAAGCAAGATAATCTAGTATTTTTCTTTCTCTGTCTGGCTTATTTGATTTAGTATAATGTCCTCCAGTTTCATCCATGTTGTGGCAAATTGTAGGAGCTCCTTCTTTCTAAAGGCTGAATATTACATATATAAAATATATACCACATATATATGTAATATTATATATCATATATACACACCACATTATAACATTTTCTTTATCTTGGCTATTATGAGTAATGTTGCAATAAATATGTGTGCGAAGTTATCTTTTCAGCATATTAATTTCATTTCCTTTGCATATATACCCAGAAGTGGGATTGCTGGATCATATGGTAGTTGTCTTTTTAATTTTTGAGGGGTCTTCACACTGTTTTCAACTAATAGTGTTTCCAACCAACAGTTTACAAGGGTTCTAATTTTTCCATGTCCTTGCCAACACTTATATTTTGTCTTTTTGATGACAGCCCTTCTAAGGGGTGTTAGGTGATAACTCATTGTGGTTTTAATTTGTATTTCTTTCGTGAATAATGTGTTTGAGCATTTTATAACATTCCTGTTGGCCGTTTTTATGTCTTTTTTGAGAAATGTCTATTTAGGTCTGTATTAGTCAGGGTTCTCTGGAGGGGCAGAACCAATAGGATAAATATGGGTGTGGTGTGTGTGTGTGTGTGTGTGTGTGTGTGTGTGTGTGTGAAAGAAGATTTATTAGAGGTGAATTGACTCACGTGACCATGAAGGTAAAGTCCCACAGCTGGCCAACTGCAAGCTGAAGAATCAGGAGAGCTAGTAGTGTGATTCCTGGAGAGGTCAGTAGTGTGGCTTCCAAAGAAGCTGCTAATGGGGCTCAGCCCAAGTCTGAAAGCTTCCAAACCAGGGAAATGAAAAATGTAGCTTCAAGTCTGAGGCTAAAGGCCTGAGTTGCCTATAGGAGGCAACTATTGCAAGTTCTAGAGTGCAAAAGCTGAAGAACTTGGACTCTGATATTCAAAAACGGGAGGAGAAAAAGGCATCCTCCTCCAGAAGATAGAGAAAGAGAAAGCAAAATTGAGGTGAGTATCCCTCTTTTTCCACCCACCTTATTGTGCTCAGGCTCCCAGCTGATTTGATGGTGCCTGCCCACACTGAAAGCAGGTTTTTCTTTCAATCCACTGATTCCAAAGTCAATCTTCTTGTAAACACCCTCTCAGTCACAGCCAGAAACAATGCATACTAGCCATCTGACAATTTCTCAAACAAGTCTAATTGACACCTAATCTTAGCTATCACAAGCTCTTTTGCCTATTTATGTATCAGATTTTTTTTCAATTGAGTTGTTTGAGTTCCATATATTTTGGATGTATATTTATTCCTTATACGATGTAGATTTTGCTAATGTTTTCTCCCATTCCATAGGTTGTCTCTTGATTTTGTTGATTGTTTCCTTTGCTGTGCCAAAGCTTTTTAGTTTGATGCAGTCCCATTTGTCTATTTTTTATTTTATCAAAAATTTTGGAGGTCATATCAAAACATTTTTTTGCAAGGCCATGTCTTTGTTTTCCTCAGATCCAGAATTTGTGTGTTTCTATTTTATACAATTTGTGCGTTTCTATTTTATACAGTTGTCTCCCCTTATACATGAAAGATATATTTCAAGACTCTCAGTGAATGCCTGAAACTGCAGCTTATACAAATCCCTATGGATATTGTTTATTCTTATGCATTCATATCTATGATAAAGTTGAATTTATAAATTAGGCACAGTAAGAGATTAACAACAAAAAACAAAAATAAAATAGAACAATCATAACAATATGCCAGCATCATTATGCTTGTCATTTTGAGTAATTATTAAGTAAAATAAGGGTTACTTGAACACAAGTACTGACATACTGCAACTGTCAATCTGATAACTGAGAGGGCTACTAAGTGACTAATGGGAAGGTAGCATAGATAGCAGGAATATGCTGCACAAAGGAAAATGATTCATGTCCCAGGTGGGACACAGCAAGATGGCATGAGGTTTCATCATGCTAAGCAGAATGCAACACAATTTAAAACTTATGAATTTTTTATTTCTCAAAATTTTCATTTAATATTTTTGGACCATGGTTGAATTCAATTAACTGAAAATGTGGAAAGAAAACTCACAAATAAGTAGGGACTACTGTCGTTTCTATCTTTTAATTTTTGTTCACTATTATTTTTCTGATTTTTTAATTTGTCTTTCTGTTCTCTTGCTGCTCACTGAGCTTCTTCATGAAGGTTATTTTGAACTCTTTTTCGGGCAGTCAATAAATCCTCATTTCTTTAGGGTTGGTTACCGTTGCTTTATTTTCTTCCTTTGGTAGTGTCATGTTTCCCTGATTGTTCATCATTCCTTCAGTCATGCACTGGTATCTGCACATTTGAAGAAATATACACCTATCCCAGTCTTTGCAGACTGGTTTTGACAGGGAAAACCCTTCATCAATAAGATAGTCCAGAGATTCTGGGCAGGCTGTCAGGTGGGGTCCACATGTAGTGCTTCTATTCAAGTACTTAAGCCAGCTGACCTGATGCCTGAGTCAGCAGGTGGGTAGAGCTGGCATCTGAGTCTAAAGGCGCTGGCCTGGGGCTTGGGCCTTCTGTGTAGACCTGAATCCTGGGTTTGTGGTGCAAGCCTAGTACTGGAGTCCACCAGAGTGGACTTGTCAACTGGATCTGTAGGAAGAAGCCTGAAGCACATGTCTTTGGTGTCCATCCTGAAGCCTGGGTCCATGGGGTCAGGCCTGGTTCAGGGATGGTCCTAGTCCCTGAGTCCACAGGGATTGGCCTGAAGCCTAATTCCATGGGAGCTGACTGGGAACTGGGGCAGAATTGGAGCCTGAGTTTATGGGATTCAGTCTGAATCTTGGCTCTGCAAATGTTAGCCTGGAATATAGGTCCTTGGGGGTTGGCCTATACCCTGATGCTACAGGGATTGTTCTGGTGCTGAGGTGGGCCTGAAGAATGGCTTTGATGGGTCTAACCTCGGCCTAAGGTATACTAGGATGAGCCTGGACCCTGGGTTGCAGAAGCACAGGATTTCATGGGCTGGTCTGATGTTCTTCCAGCCTGCAGACCATATCTGCAGGAGCTGGCCTGTGGGCTGAGTCTATGAGCACTAGCCTGGTGGCTGAGTCTGTGATATCCAGCTGGGAGGTGAGGCCATTGGGTACTGTTCTGGCATAAGGATAAGCCTAGAACCTGGGTCCCTAAGTGCTGGTTTGGAGCCTGGGGATGCAGGGGTTGGCTTCATGCTGTGAATGGGCCTGTAGCCTAAGGCTTCAGGGGTCAGCTTGGAGTTTTCTGCTGACGTGGCACTGGATGGGCCTAAAGCCTTTAAGCCTGGAGTCACCAAGGCCTGTATGGAGCCTGGTACTGTGGGGGCCAGCTTGAAGCTGATGTCCACAGGTGCAAACCTAGCCCTGAGGTGGGCCTCAAAGCACTTAGTTTCAATGCCTACATTGCTGATCAAAATATTTCAAAAAATATAAGATAAAGCAGTATATGTAAAGAAGATTGTAAAATCTAAATACAAATCACCACCACTTTAAAAGCATGGGAAAGGCACAGAAGACCAGAGGCCAAGGCCTGATTGGAGATGTATGCATTCTTCTCTCCATCCATCCGTCCATCCATCCATCCATTCTTTCTTTACTGCACACCTATTGTGTACCTGGCTCTATTCTAGCCACTCTGGGGCCTACAAAAAGAAACAAACAAACAAAGAAACAAATCTGAATCGTGTTTTGAAAAGCTGATTCCCAGGGATTAAAGTGACTCCATGGTTTCTTAGGTGGTTTGATTCAGTTTTAAACCAGCATAGAATCAATTAGTTAACCATATAATATGCTTATAGGAATATGAAGATTAACATAATAGAAAAATTCAGTCCTTGCCCTTCAGTAGCATGAGTGATGTTAATATCCCTTTACTGAAATACATTATAAAGCAAATGTGGATCAAATACACTGGTATTTTATTTTCCAAAATGAACAACAGAATTTTGTCAAAGGGATTTTTACACGTGCAAAAGACATGTAATGAGGAATTGCAAGATGGCTTGAGTTATAGAAACTAACCAACTGTTCCTTCCATGTAACAGATACCACATTCTGAACTTCTTGAATATTCATAGTCATTGAATAATTGTTTATAAATAGTCTGAAATATTTCCCTTTCCAAGAAGCACTTGTGTCTATATCCTTATGTAAAGGAAACAATCTTGTAATAAGCCCTGTGCATTGATGTTTTTTGACTCTCATGCTATTTGACCTATGTCACCTCTGTTGGGACTAGTGTTATGACGGTTTTCTCTCTCATAATGACTGAGATATGGAGTTTATGTTCAGGCTGTGACATTGTAGAAATTAGAACTGGATGCTAACTGACTCATGTAATCAAACTTGTAACTTTATCCTCATTAGTATTATAACTGAGATAATCGACCCAGACATATGGCTATGCCAGTTAATTACAAACAAACTAGGTACCTTTCTGAATCTCAAGGGTAATTCCACAGAGATAGTCATAGCATTAAACAGTTTTAAGCATTTAAATATTTATTGTAAAAGTAATTTTTTTTTGTTTCACCATTGCAAATACTAATGTCTAGAAGTAGATTTTGAGAGTTTGCTTGTGGCCTAGCTCTGAGATCTGGTGGGTCCTAGATCTACCAACATCCTAGTCTATAACATCACTTATTCCAGGGTTTTTTAAAGAGCTGAAATGTTTGTTATCTATTATTATACAGAAATCCACCAAATGAGGTCTTGGGAATAATACAAAGGGTGAAATTGAGGAATAGCATTTCAGTTTATAATATTTACAAAGACCTTTTCCCTAAACTACAAAAGAAATAAATTTTTGTCAGAAGACTACTGTAGTTGAAAATATACATCTTCAAATAAGAGTTTTGTCTCTGATCATTCATGGACAAAAATGTTATTTTGCCTACATGTTACTGCATCTTTGCATATTGATTCTCTCTCTGTGTCTCTTTTTTCTCTGTGTCTTTCTGTATTTGTCTGTCTGTTTCCCTCTCTTTTACCCCCTTTTTTCCCTCTCCCTCTTTCTCTGTCACTCTTCCTCTCTAATTCCCTCCGTCTTTCCCCTGTCTCTGTCACACATACACACATATAAGGCATCATAAGCAGATAGAATTTTTAAAAAAATAAATAATACTAAACTAGTAACTGATTCTCTGCCTAAAGGGTTTCATTTTTTTTTTCAGAGAAATAAATGTTTCAACCCAAGCAAACAGGCCAGAGAAATCAACAGTGTATAATTCTTTTACACTGAAATTCACCCCAGGGGTGTTGATTTGTCAATACTCCATTAAGAGATGACCAAAAAAGGGTTCTGATGTGGTTGATTGCTACAGTTGTTTCTAAACACAGGGTACTGTGTGCGACACAATGTTTCTGGAGGTTAATTTTAAAAATCAAAATGAGCGATGTTAAAATGTTTTTTGGTTTGGTGCTGATACTTCTTAAAGCTCAATATCTAATCTCGACCTCTCCTGTGGGCTCCAGTCCTGAATTTTCAATTAAATTCAAAGGTATTTCCACCTTCTTTCTATTTTTTCCTATTTTTTGTATGATTCTTCCATTGTTCTATCATCCAAGTTCAATATCAGCCATCATTCAGCTACAAAAGCCCTATGAATTCAACCTCCACTGAATGCTGAAAGGTATTCTTTTCTTTCATTTCCACTGCTTGTCCACTTATCCAGACTATTATTACCTATCATATCCTTAGTTACAGTTGCCTTCTAAGTGGCCTCTGGTTCTCCATCTCCCTCTACTTCAATCTATGCTATAATCTCCTACTAAATCAATCTTACTAAATAATCAAATTCATCTTGTTTACCCTCTTCTTAACTAAAATTCTTCTGTGATTTTCCATGCTTACCAAATAAGGAATTTACTTTTTATCATGGCATTCAAAATTCTTTATAGCACAAATCAACTCTTCTTTTCCAGTTTTATTACCCACAACTCTCCTTTATATTTTCCCTACTCCAGCAAATTGGACTACTTGCCATTTCCTGAACTTCCTCCACACCAGCATTATCTTTCCCTAGTTGAAAATCCTCTTCCTCATTCATGAACTCTAAATCCTCCCAACTGTCTAAAGTTCATAGAAAATGCCACTTTGTTCATGTTACTCTTTTATACTCAGGATTAATTTGTCTTGCAGCTGAGTTCACAGAACTTTTAACATTTTCATTTTGTTTTGTTTACTGCTCACATGGAAATATTGCTTTTGCCATTGTTTTAGTTACTTGCATATTTGTCTTACTTTATTCTGTTACTAAAATGTAATCTTCTTGAAGGAAGCATACTGGGTCTTCACATGTATGGGTATATATCGGAACAGAAGCTGAAGTTCCTTTCATATATATTTACAAAAATAATATTTTAATTTCCATGAAATAAAGGTTTCTTGAATTATTTATATTATAGTTGTTATTTCATGCATTTGTAAGGAAACTGAAATGTTTCTGCCTTTCTGTATTGAGGTTTACTTGATGTCTATTGAAAATGTTTCCTTAGTTAGAACATAATAATGGATTAGACCCTCACCAAATTACTAAAAGTTTACTTTGTTTCTATTTTATGTTCTTCTTCTACTTTAAAACAATGCTAATGTCCTTTCTTTTTCTCTTGTTTTGGTCAATTTTCTGTAAAACAATTATTCAATAATAAAGATAATATAAATAACGAAAGTAAATACATATACCAAATTCCCTTTTACTTATAATAAAGAATATAGAGTTTTTTTGTTACATTGGAAAGTTGAGTGAAGAATATTAAACTTTAATTTCTGCCATCAATTTCTGTACTACTCCATTTCCCACTGAAAGCATCGAGTGTTCCGATAATATATCAATTCTTAACATGATAAATCATGGCAATAATAAGGAAATATGACTTCCTTTATCTTCCACACAAGATCAAATTTTTATTTATGTTTCCCTCTGTCAATTGGGTACTTCACAATATGTTCATAGTTGTGCTTATATTCAATGGAAATAAAAAATCACACCTTACATTTTAAATTTTGCAGTCATTTTCTACATTTTGTACAGTGAAATTTAACTAAGTCCTCTCCACTTTTCATGTGCCTAATCTTTAGGATCTATTTACATTTTACTGCAATGTGAAAATACAAGAAAAATTTAGCCAAATGTAAAAGGCCCAAGCCACATCGTCAAACAGAAGGTTTGACTTAATTTTTAAGGAAAAGAAGGAAATGAAGACAGAAGAAAAATGGGGAGAGGGAGAAAATATGATTTCCTCTTAAAACAAGCAGAATTCTACAAGTTAATACTTTTGCAAAATAAAATTGTATAAATACTCATCTATCCAAAGTACAGTCTTATAGTACATTTAAATCCCTCTGAAACCCAGAGCACTGTGTTTATAATAGAATAGCAGACAGACTTGCCCTTCACTGGAGGGCATGTCATATAAGTCCTCGCTTTCTCTGCAAAAACATCAGGCTGGCAGTAGTGACAGATGAACAGCTTACCATTAATTTCCCCTCTTTCATGCTTTCAATCCAAATGGTGCATATTCTCCACGGGGAGGCATCAAGGTCTCTGCCTTTATTTCTCCTGTATACCCACATTGACTTATAAATTAAGTGCAGATAAGAAGAGAGGGCAAATATCAATCTTTATTTTTTTTTCTCCTAGCCTATGCCCACTGGCACACTACTGAGCTTTGACTGAAAGATTCTTCAAATTGTCCTGTGAGTCACAGGCTAGAAAGTTTTCAGTGAGGACAAAACAACAAAGGAAATCTGAGAGGGAAAATTTGCATATCTTGGCTTATAATTTAGAAACTTTGCCACTGCAGTATTTTAAAAATTAGTTACCAAAAATATACACGTAAGATGTTATGACCACTAAGGAAAGAAAAATCTGGAATATAAAGCCATCTGCATTGTTTTAGCATGGTGAGGAAAATAGCAATCTTTAAGTCATTTCTTTAGTCTTATTTTCCCCCTTTATGGTAAGGGGTTGGTCTCTTCATAAAACTTGGAGTATCCACAATAAAGCCCTTTGCTATGACTGGTCTGCTTTATTTGAATCACAGTGTTTTACAACAGCTTTATGAGTGAAATATTTCATATACTACATTTTAAGTTAAGGATTTGATATACTGAGGTTTTAGCACATGACTGTTATTACTTTGTATATATTTTTCAAATTGTGCACGGTACCTTGTACATGATAAATGCTTAATAGATATTGTATTTTTCATATACACTCTGGTACTGGATTTATTTTTTAGTCATAGTGGTCATTTTATGCTAATATTTATGATTGCTGAGGATGTCTGATTTTTAAAAACTTTCCGTTGAAGAAATTATACCCTGCTGCCTTTAAAAAATATTCACAGCTTTGCTAGTACATTAAAAAGAGGGAACATTTGGAGAAAAAAGAGCATTATGTAATTCTTTTGACTTTTAACAAATCAATCTTGAACTAAAAGTGCATCCAAACCTACTAGATGACACAATATCATTTTAAGCTCAAAGAAATCGATATTATGATCACTGAAAAATTATAATTTTTTTAGCTAAGCATGAAGTGTTAATACTATTAAATGACAGTAAATGTTGATGTTCAAGGCTTCCTGCTGGCCTTTTGCAGGTGACATATCTAAGGATCAGAGCTATTCCATTTTGTATTCCCCTTTTTTCTTTAAGGCTGCAAGACTCAACTATAAATTACAACTGATGACAAAAGTGGAAGCTAACAGTGGCAAAATTAGGCCCAAAGGCAAAATAATTATATATACAGCCTTCAGCAGTGAGGGAGAGAGCCATCAATCAGCCCCCAATTATTCACTAGTTAATCAGCTCTGCCCTTCCTTTATTGAAGGGTTACAGTGTAATTAAGTTGGCAGCATCCTTTTAATTCATCAAACATACAACACATGGCGGTGTTTGCTGCGTTGAGGGACAGCACCTTTGTGTGTTTGACCCCTAGCACTGCTGCTGTAGATGAGGAAAACTTCAGAGGTAAGAGAGAATATGTATGCAGCTGCACGACAGTGGGGTGTTGGTGTTTTCATATACAGCCCTAAGCTTAAAACAACTAAGATTTATGCTATGTCAAGGATAAAACAGATAGGGATATGAAAGAAGAAAAAGAACATCGATGATATTGCTTGGGTCACATTATCTCAGAAGAGTTAAAAGAACAATATATAAGCTGTTTTTCTTCAGCTAGGAGAGAACAGAGAGTTTTTTACTATTTCATAGTAAAATTGGTAACACACCAACAGACAATCTGGATAAATCAGAAGGAAAAAATTGTTTCTTCCCTTTAGAGGCTTAAATTAATTGTTAAGATGTCCTTTCTTTACTAGATAACTTCTCTATACTTGGTTCAACATTGGCTTCAAAGGTGCACTTTTTTGTCCTTCTTAGCCAAAAGTCCAATAACTTGGCCCAATAGGAGATTTTTTGTGGAATAAAAGAATTAGACTTAGAAAATAATAAAATATAATGGTCCTTGAAAATATTAGTGTTTATGTAGTGCTAATATTTCCTTAAATTCAGAAATACAGTACAACACTGTTTTAATCCAACTTTTTTCTTTTCTTTTCGTTTCTTTTTAGGATTTAAACATACTGTGGGTCATCTCTTATACTGTAAATCTAACAACTCTTAGCAGGGAAAGCCTGAGAGAATACGGTGAGGATATAAGGCAGGCGGTCTTCCTGCCTCCCTGCAGCAGGGCTATAAAGGATTCCCACTGTTTTTCTCTTTCTTGTTTTATTTGCTATAAAATAGGAATTGACATTTGTTCTCTCATAAAGTAACTTGGTGAATGAATTAAATTTTACAAAATATATAAATTCTTCAGTTTCTTTTCTGTTGGGACTATAGGGTACAACAGTATCTCTTCTGATGTCTCAGATAAGGAGAGACTTCTATATTTTGAATGCCCCTGAAGGAAGAAAAACAGTCTTCCCTTATTCACTTCTGATTGCATAGATGATACTGCATGTAAATTCTGAACACTCAACATAATAATCATAACATTTATATAACATTAACAATCCCTATTATAAGCAGTTTCACATTTATTAACTGATTTAATCCACAAATAATTCTATGGCATACGCATAATTACTTTCGTTTTACGTGTGAGGCAACCAAGTCAAAGAGAAGTTAAACAACTTATCTGAGGTCACACAGCTAGTGGTTGGGAAAGTGAGAGTATAAGACCAGGCAGTAGGCTCCATAACCACATTTAACTGCTATTTTTTTTTTTTTTGTTGTTGTTGTTGCTGTTGCTGTTTTTGTTTTTTTAATTATACTTTAAGTTTTAGGGTACATGTGCACAATGTGCAGGTTAGTTACATATGTATACATGTGCCTTGTTGGTGTGCTGCACCCATTAACTCGTCATTTAACATTAGGTATATCTCCAAATGCTATCCCTCCCCACACCCCACAACAGGCCCCAGTGTGTGATGTTCCCCTTCCTGTGTCCATGTGTTCTCATTATTCAATTCCCACCTATGAGTGAGAACATGTGGTGTTTGTTTTTTTGTCCTTGCAGTAGTTTGCTGAGAATGATGGTTTCCAGCTTCATCCATATCCCTGCAAAATACATGAACTCCTCCTTTTTTATGGCTGCATGGTAGTCCATAGTGTACATGTGCCACATTTTCTTAATGCAGTCTATCATTGTTGGACATTTGGGTTGGTTCCAAGTCTTTGCTATTGTGAATAGTGCCACAATAAACATACGTGTGCATGTGTCTTTATAGCAGCATGATTTATAATCCTTTGGGTATATACCCAGTAATGGGATGGCTGGGTCAAATGGTATTTCTAGTTCTAGATCCCTGAGGAATCGCCACACTGACTTCCACAATAGTTGAGCTAGTTTACAGTCCCACCAACAGTGTAAAAGTGTTCCTATTTCTCCACATCCTCTCCAGCACCTGTTGTTTCCAGACTTTTTAATGATCGCCATTCTAACTGGTGTGACATGGTATCTCATTGTAGTTTTGATTTGCATTTCTCTGATGGCCAGTGATGATGAGCATTTTTTCATGTGTTTTTTGGCTGCATAAATGTCTTCTTTTGAGAAGTGTCTGTTCATATCCTTCACCCACTTTTTGATGGGGTTCTTTGTTTTCTCTTGTAAATTTGAGTTCATTGTAGATTCTGGATATTAGCCCTTTGTCAGATGAGTAGGTTGTGAAAATTTTCTCCCATTTTGTAGGTTGCCTGTTCACTCTGATGGTAGTTTCTTTTGCTGTGCAGAAGCTCTTGAGTTTAATTAGATCCCATTTGTCAATTTTGTCTTTTGTTGCCATTGCTTTTGGTGTTTTAGACATGAAGTCCTTTCCCATGCCTGTGTCCTGAATGGTATTGCCTGGGTTTTCTTCTAGGGTTTTTATGGTTTTAGGACTAACATTTAAGTCTTTAATCCATCTTGAATTAATTTTTGTATAAGTTGTAAGGATGGGATCCAGTTTCAGCTTTCTACATATGGCTAGCCAATTTTCCCAGCACCATTTATTAAATAGGGAATCTTTTCCCCATTTCTTGTTTTTGTCAGGTTTGTCAAAGATCAGATGGCTGTAGATACGTGGCATTATTTCTGAGGGCTCTGTTCTGTTCCATTAGTCTATATCTCTGTTTTGGTACCAGTACCATGCTGTTTTGGTTACTGTAGACTTGCAGTATAGTTTGAAGTCAGGTAGCATGATGCCTCCAGCTTTGTTCTTTTGGCTTAGGATTGACTTGGCAATGTGGGCTCTTTTTTGGTTCCATATGAACTTTAAAGTAGTTTTTTCCAATTCTGTGAAGAAAGTCATTGGTAGCTTGATGGGGATGGCATTGAATCTATAAATTACCTTGGGCAGTATGGACATTTTCACGATATTGATTCTTCCTACCCATGATCATTCCTAACTGCTACATTGTTAAGCACTGTGATCTGCTGACGTGACGTTTTAAGGGACTTAGGCTAGTGATTTAAAACAAATATTCCTTCTTTTTATTCTATGATTTAAAATAATATTGGGAGTTTCTTTCATTTCAATGTTAAAATAATTCTAACATTTGTGGGTTCATTAATCAGAATGAAATTTAATAGATGGTCACTTGTATTTGACACTCAGTGATGTTTTAAAAGAAAAGTAGTTACAGAGATAGGGGATAATAAAGATCCTGTGTACTGTTTTGGACTAATCAGCTAAGCCTACGAGTAATGTTTCAAACTCTGTCTCTTTGCTGGCCAAATGAAGAATGAATTTCTTTGTTCTGTACTGTCCTAGTATAATGGAGGTTAAATTCATGTTTTTAAAAATGTTTTATGACTTTAATTGTATGTAACATATAAAATTGTTATCAGTGTGGAAGATTTGTTGAATTATTTTCATACACAAGTAAAATATGGTTATCTTCGTCAGTTAGCATGTAATTATATATTTTTAGTTAGCATTTATGTAGTGAAGCTAATGGCATAAATTGTATGGAAGCACTTTGTCAATAGCAATTGTTGTAATAATATTTTTCTTATCTGGAATTAGCCTTTTTATTTATCTAATAAACTTTCTTACCTTTTTATTTTTATTTTTATTTTTTGAGACAGAATCTCGCTCATTAGCCCAGACTGGAGTGCGGTGTCGAGATCTCAGCTCACTGCAACCTCCGCCTCCCAGGCTCAAGCCATTCTCCTGCCTCAGCTTGCTGAGTAGCTAGGATTACAGGCACCCACCACCATACCCAGCTAATTTTTGTATTTTTAGTAGAGATGGGGTTTCACCATGTTGGCCAGGCTGGTCTTGAACTCCTGACCTCAGGTGATCCGCCCACCTCAGCCTCCCAAGGTGCTGGGATTACAGGCATGAGCCACCATGCCCACCAACTTTCTTAACTTTTAAACATGTCTCTTACTGTGCAGTTTTCTTAATGTAACACAAGCAGAATGAAGCATTCAAATAATGATTTTGTGGATCTTAAAGTGTTTCTTGGGATGAGTGGATTATCCCAGGTTACTATAAATTGCAACTAATGGGACACAAAGATAGTGCTGAAAAACATGTCTCTCGTGCATCATTTTGCACCTACTATCTAATCTCTTAGAACACTTAGTCTTTCAAGTTGTCATTCTCTTCTTCGATTTTATTGTTCTTAATTGATCCTCATGTTTTTTTTAATCAAAGAATATCGTGTACTTGAAGTCCTCTAGGTTGCCTTTCATTTAGTTTTTATTTTCTTTAATTTATCTTATCTAGACACCCAATCAGTAAACAAATATAAAAAGTGTTCTATGTATAAGGTTTTCATCTAGGCACCAGGCAATAATAAAGGCCATATACATTATGATTCTTGACTTCCTGACTTATCTTCATAATTTAATTAGACTGATAAGTGGTATAGAAGTTCTTTGAGAATGCTGATCATGCCTTATATTTTGCACAGTATTTTTAAACTACATTATATCCTTAATAAGGACTAACATCTTTTACATTGCTGGTGGAAATGTAAAATGGTGTGCTGCAGTGGAAAACAGTTTAGCAGTTCATCAGGAAGTTAATCATAGAATTACCATATGACCCAGCAATTCCATTTCTAAGTATATACTCGAGAATTGAAAAAAAGTGATGAAATACAAACATGTAGATGAATATTCATAGGAGTACTATTCACAATAACCAAAAAGTGGAAAGAATGCAAATGCCTATCAGCAGAAAAATGGATAAATAAATTGTGGTATGTCCATACAATGGACTATTGTTTAACCATAAAAAAGAATGAAGTATGGTACATGCTTCAACATAGATGAACCTTGAGAAAATTATACTAAGAGAAAGAAGCCACACAAAAAAGGCCACATATTTTACTATTTTCTTCATATAAAATATTCAGAAGAGGTAAATCCAAATAAATAAAAAATAGATTAGTGGTTGGGGGAAATGGTGGAAGAAAGACCAGGACATGACTGCTTAATGGATGAGAATTTTTGGGGGGAGGTGATTAAAATATTTAATCTAGATAGTGGTGGTTGTTATACAACATTGTTAATTTACATAATGCCACTAAATTTTACACTTCAAATGATAAAAAATGGTAAATTTTATGTCAGGTGTATTTTAACCCCAATAAGAAATTTAAAAATACATATAACCACTGATAGCTACATGAGGCAGTATAAACACCTTCTGCATCCAGACAGTTTAAGGAAAATGAGAATTCTAGTAGGCTATGTTCTAGCAAAGGTTTTACACATAAATGTTTTTAGGGGCAAGCTGGTAACAAGCGTACAATGGAAAATGGTGGGGACTTTTTGAAAACTTACTAAAAAGTTTTTCAAATTTTATTGCTATAAGGTATGCTGGATTTTTATCATAAATGAGTGCTAGATTTGGTTATTTTGTTTCATCAATTGATATGATCACATGATGTTTTCTTCTTAAGCCCGTGGATATGCTGCATTAAATTGATTGATTTTCAAATATTGAACTAGCCTTGAATAACTGGACTATATCCTACTTGGTCATGGTGTATAATTTCTTTTATGCATGATTGCATTTAATTTCCTAATATTTTGTTAATAATTCTAATAACAGACTATTTTGTTAGTAATATTTTATACTGTACTTTTCTCATTGTCATGTAAGTGTAATACTAGATTCTTAATTGGAAACTATTCTTTTATTTTCTATTTTCTGCAAGTATTTGTGTAAAATTCTCGTCAATTCTTTCTGAAATCATCTGTAGAATTCACCAATGAAACCATTAGGGCCTGGAGATTTCATTTTTGAAAGCCTTTTAGTTACAGATTTAACTTCTTCAATAATTAAATGACTATTCAGATGATCTATTTTATCTTGATTGAATTTTAGTAGTCTATGCTTTTAGAGGAATTGGTCCATTTCTTCTATGTTGTCAAATTTATGAATAAAAATATTTGCAGTATTTTCTTATTTTTCATTTAATGGTTGTAGGATCCTCAGTGATAGCTCCTGTTACATTCTAGGTATCAGTGGTTTTTTTCTTTTTCAATTTTTGTCAGTTTTTCTACAGATTCATACATTTTATTTATTATATTAATACAACATTTTGATTTAATTGGAGTTTATTTTGCTGCTCTTGCTTGCTTTTATTCAATTTCATCAACTTTTGCCCTTATCTTTATTATTTCTTTACTTCCTCTCTTTGGTTTATTTTTATCTTATTTTCCTAGTTTCCTAATATAGATTAATATTTTGAGCCTGCAAGCTTGGGCAACATAGTGAGATCCTGTCTCTAGAAAATATTGAAAAATTAGCCAGGCATAATTGTGTGCACCTGTAGTCCCAACTACTCCAGAGGCTGAAGCTGGAGGATCACTTGAGGCCGCACTAAGCCATGATTGGGACACTGCACTCCAGCCTGGGTGACAGAATAAGACCTTATCTCTAATAACATAATAATAATAATAATAATAATAATAATAAATAATGTGATGCTATAGTATACTATGAGACATACTGTGACTATAAGATTAATAATAATCATGAGGCCCAATTGAACATCTCATAGGACCTACCCTACGTGTTAACTAATAATATGAAATATCCTAGCTGGGGGATTTTCAGCACTATAGCCCTGAAGATTACTCGTTCTCTTTCACAATGGGGCCAAAAAACACTGGTTGCCCTAGAGAAAAGGCCACCTCAGCACAGAGTCAACTTTAAGAACCTTAGAACAAAGCGTATCTGTATAAGAATAGCTTAAACTGCCTTTATGAAAGAAACACTTCGTAACTGACCCAGACTGAATACAAGTGTAAGAAAGGGGAAATATTCCTCTAACTCTCAGAATGTTCTCCAGTTGGAGACTCTTCTGGTGAGGCAGTCATCAGATCCCTGACTGTAACTGGTCCATACCACTGGCTTGTTCCCACTGTCCATCTTATAAGTGTACTGCCAGAATAAACTGCCTGAACATTAGGTGTTGCCTAAGATCCATCATTGACACGATTGGACCATAGGGAAAAAAAATTGCCTGTGGGGAAGCTGGCCAAATGGGCCAACCCAAGACCCCTGAACACAATAGAGGCTTTTCCACTTTTAAAAATATAAGTACTTAGTGTTATGCATTTTCCTTTCAGTACAGCTTTTAATATGTTTTATTTTCATTTATTTTCAGTAATAGCATATTTAAAATTTTCCTTTGCGACTTATTCTTGATCCATAAATTATTTCAAAATGTGTTGTTTAGTTACATGGATAAGTTCTTTAGTGGTGACTTGTGAGATTTTGGTGCACCCATCACCTGAGCAGTGTACACTGTACCCATTGTGTAGTCTCTTATCCCTCATCCCCTCCCACCCTTCCCCCAACACAGTCTTTTGGAGGGTGAAGGGTGGGAGGAGGGAGAAGATTAGGAACATCTGAAGTTAAAAGTTTTTTAAAATGTAGAATAAAGTTCTTAAAAATGTATTGTTAATGTTCCAAGTGTTTAGAGATGTTCTGTTGTCTTTCTGTTACTGGATTATAGTTTGATTTCACCAAGATCAGTAAACACACATAGATCAATGAAACAGAACAGAGAGCCCAGAAATAAAGCCACATACCTGCAGCCAACTGCTTTTAGACAAAGTTGACAAAAACAAACAATGAGGAAAGAACATCCTATTCAATAAATGGTGCTGAAAAAACTGGCTAGTCATATGCAGAAGAATGAAATTGGAACCCGATCTCTCATCGTATTTGAAAATTAATTCAAGATGGATTAAAGACTTAAATATAAGACATAAAATGGAAAACATCCCAGAAGAAAACCTAGAAAATACTCTTCTAGACATTGGCCTAGGAAAATAATTTATGACTAAGACCTCAAAAGCAAATATAACAAAAATAAAAGTAGACATATGGGACTTAATTAAACTGAAGAGCTTCTGCACAGCAAAATAAACTATCCACAGAGCAGACAAACAACCTACAGGATGGGAGAAAATATTTGCAAAGTATTCATCTGATAAAAAAATCATATCCAGAATCAATAAATAACTTAAATAAATCAACAAGCAAAAAACAAATAATCTAGTTAAAAAGTGGGCAAATAATATAAACAGACCCCCCTATTTTTTTTTTTTTTTTTTTTGAGATGGAGTTTCACTCTATTGCCCAGGCTGAAGTGCAGTGCCACGATCTCGGCTCACCACAACCTCCACCTCCCAGGTTCAAGTGATCCTCCTGCCTCAGCCTCCCGAGTAGCTGGGACTACAGGCGTCCACCACCATGCCAGGCTAATTTTTGTGTTTTTTTTTAGTAGAGACGGGCTTTCGCCGTGTTGGCCAGGCTGGTCTCAAACTCCTGACCTCAGGTGATCCACTTACCTCTTAAAAGAAGACATTCCAACAGCCAACAAACATATAAAAATGCTCATTGTCCCCAATTATCAGAGAAATCCAAATCAAAACCACAGTGAGATACCATGTTATATCAGTTAGAATGGCTATTATTAAAAAAGAAGTCAAAAAACAACAGATGCTGGCAGCCTTGTGGAGAAAAGGGAATGCTTATACACTGCAGGTGAGAATATAAATTAGTTGAACCCCCATGGAAAACAGTATGAAGATCTCTCAAAGAACTAAAAAGAGAACTATCATTCGACCCAGTAATCCTACTACTGTATAACTATCCTAAGGAAAATAAGTTGTTTTATCAAAAAACACTTGCACTTATATTGTTTATTGTAGCATTATTTATAATAACACAGTCATAGAATCAACCTAAGTATCTATCAGTGATTATTTGGATAAAGAAAATATGGCATATATACACCATGGAATACTATGAAGCCATAAAAAGAATTAAATTATATCCTTTGTATCAACATGGATGAGCTGGAGGTCATTATCCTAAGTGGAATAATTCAGAAACAGAAAATCAAATATCACATGTTCTCACTTATAAGTTAGAGATAAGCAATGGGTACACATGGACATAAAGATACAAATAATAGGCACTGGGGATCCCAGAAGGGGTGGGTAGAAGCGGCACAAGCGTTCAAAAATTTCCTATTGGGTACAATGTTCCCTATTTGGGTGATAGGTTCACTAAAAGCTAAAACCTCACTATTACACAATATGTCCACATAACAGACCTGCACAAATATCTTTGAATCTAAAATAACAAAAGAAAGAACAGATCAGTGAGCACAGCATATAATTTTAATTATTTTGCAATTTTTGAGATTTTTGTTATAGCCTAAAATATGATTGATTTTGGTGAATATTCCACAGGCTCACACGTACACAAATGTATATTCTGCTAGTTTTTTTTGTGTGTGGAATGCTCTATGAATGTTAATTTATTCCTGTAGGTTTACTGTGTTGTTTAGATCTTCTCTTTCCTTGATGATGTTCTGTCTAAGGAGTTCTATCAATTACTGTGAATAAGATGTTAAAATCCTCACATATAATTATAGATTTATCTATTTTTTCATTTTAGTTTCATCAGTTTTTCTTTATGTATTCTGAGGCTTTTTTTGGTATGTACACTGGATCATTATACAGTCCCAGTAGATTGATAATTTTATAATTATGTGACATCTCTCTTTTACACTAATAATTATCTTTTCCCTATAATCTACTTTTATGATATTATTAATAATATAGACATTTTTAATTTTTAAAATATTTGCATGGTATATATTTCTCCAATGTTTTACTCATACATCCCCTGTATCATATTTGACATGACTTTCTTCATCTATTCATAATAGCCTTTTAGAATTTGTGGAATAGATGGAAATACTCTCAACTTAAAAAGTTGCATCTATAAAATACTGTAGCAGGGATCAAAATTAATGATGAAGGTCTGAATGCTTTTCTTAAGATACAGAAGAAGCAAAACATACCTGCTCTTACTAGTATTATTCAACATAGTACTAAATGTTTTAGCCACGACAAGGCAAGAAAAAGAAAAGGCACAGAGGTTGGTAAGTAAGCTAGTAAACTAACTTAGTAAGTGAGTTTAGCAAGGTTACAAAATAACAGATCAACATAAAAAAGATTATTACATTTCTATATACTAATAATTAATGTGCAGACATTGACACTGTAACCACAGCATCATTTATAATTACTCTAGATTGTTGCAGTGAGAAAAAATACTTATGTACACAATTTTAAAAACATGTACAGGATCTATAGGCTGAAAATTATTAACTTGAAAAGAATTTTTTTTTCTTTTGAGACACAATTTTTCTCTGTCACCCAGGCTGGAGTGCAGTCGCACGATCTCGGCTCACTGCAACCTCCGCCTCCCTGGTTCAAGTTATTCTCCTGCCTCAGCTTCCTGAGTAGCTGGGACCACAGTTGCGTGCCACCACGCCTAGCAAATTTTTGTGTTCTTGGTAGAGATGGGGTTTCACCATATTGGCTTCAGGACATATTGTTCTCGAACTCCTGACCTCATGATTCACCTGCCTCGGCCTCCCAAAGTGTTGAGATTACAGGTGTGAGCCACCGCGCCTGGCCTGAAAAGAATTTGTAAAACTCTCTAAATCGAGGCACAAATCAAGCACATGAATTAGAAGCCCCAAAATGTTGAAGATGTCAATTCACCCTAAATCATCTGTAGGTTTAATGCAATTTCTATCAAAATCCCAGCATAATTTCCTTGTAGATATAGAAAATGTTTTTATAAAATTTTTATGGTAAGGCACAGAATCTAAAAGAGTTAAAACAATCTTAAAAAAGTATGAAGTGGAAGAAATAATTCTTAGTACATAATCAAGTCAATATTGAGGCTTACTATATAGCTATATTGATCAAAACAATGAAGCATTGGTGGAGGAATAGACTCATAGATCAAGAGAAAATAACAGAAGACATAGAAATAGACTCAGGTGAATATTACTGATTTTTGACAAAGATGAAGAAGCAATTAATGCAGAGGATAGCATAACCTATTCAACAAATGGGCTAGAAAAATTGTATGTTTATAGGTAAACAAACAAATCTAAGTCTAAGTCTCAACCTAAGTCTCATACCTAATACAAAAATTAGCTCAAAATGGGCATAGTCGTTCATGCCTGTAATCTCAGTGAGTTGGGAGGCAGAGGTGGGCAGATTGCTTGAACTCAGGAGTTCAAGACCAGCCTGGGCAAGGTGTCAAGTTCCTGTCTCTAAAACAATAAAGTGAGCTCAAAATGTATCACAGACTAAAATATAAAATATAGATGTATAAAGTTGTTAGAAGAAAACACAAAAGAAAATCTTCAGAGTCTAGGGCTAGGTAAAGGATACTTGGGCAGAAATATTACCCATAAAAGAAAAAACAACAAATCATATTTCATCAAAATTATAAAATATTCTGCCTTTGAGAGACTTTGTTAAGAAAACAAAAGGGACAACTTGCTGTCTGGAAGAAAATATTTGAAATCCACATAGCCATCAAAAGACTAATGCCTAGAATATATGAAGATCTCTCAAAATGCAACATTAAAAGGGGAAAAAAGCCAATTGGATTAGAAAATGAAAAAATAACATGAAAAGACATTTCGCTGAGAAGGATATACAAATACCAAATAAGCACATTAAAAAGTGTTCAGCATCAATAGCCATCAAGAAAATGAAATTTAAAATCACAATGAGATAGCACTACATTAACCTTTCAAATTGGCTTATAAATAAAAAGAACAGTGGCAACACCAAATACTGTCATGGATGGACATAAACTGGATCACTGACAGAATGCTGATGAGAATATTAAGAAGTACATTTTACTTTTGAAAGTTTCCTATTAAACTAAACATGCAATTTTCATACAACCCAGCAACTGTACTCTTGAACATTTATCCCATAGAAATAAAAACTTATGTTCAATCAGAAATATGCACGCAAATATCAAAAAGCAACAGATTGAATCTCTCTGTATTTTTATTATAACTACATGATAAACTGTAATTACTCTAAAATAAAAAGGTACAAAAGGTTACACTAGTTATATAAAGCATATTTGTTCACTGACTGTGACCAGAAACTCCTTTCTGAAGATTCCTGCTTTATTCAAGATTTTATGCCATTTGAAGGAAGAAATTTGATCTTTTATTTATTTATTTATTTATTTATTCATTATTATTATACTTTAAGTTTTAGGGTACATGTGCACAATGTGCAGGTTAGTTACATATGTATACATGTGCCATGCTGGTGCGCTGCACCCACTAATTCATCATCTAGCATTAGGTATATCTCCCAATGCTATCCCTCCCCCTACCCCCCACCCCACAACAGTCCCCAGAGTGTGATGTTCCCCTTCCTGTGTCCATGTGTTGTTCTCATTGTTCAATTCCCACCTATGAGTGAGAATATGTGGTGTTTGGTTTTTTCTTCTTGCAATAGTTTACTGAGAATGATGATTTCCAATTTCATCCATGTCCCTACAAAGGACATGAGCTCATCATTTTTTATGGCTGCATAGTATTCCATGGTGTATATGTGCCACATTTTCTTAATCCAGTCTATCATTGTTGGACATTTGGGTTGGTTCCAAGTCTTTGCTATTGTGAATAATGCCGCAATAAACATACGTGTGCATGTGTCTTTATAGCAGCATGATTTATAGTCCATTGGGTATATACCCAGTAATGGGATGGCTGGGTCAAATGGTATTTCTAGTTCTAGATCCCCGAGGAATCGCCACACTGACTTCCACAATGGTTGAACTAGTTTACAGTCCCACCAACAGTGTAAAAGTGTTCCTATTTCTCCACATCCTCTCCAGCACCTGTTGTTTCCTGACTTTTTAATGATTGCCATTCTAACTGGTGTGAGATGGTATCTCACTGTGGTTTTGATTTGCATTTATCTGATGGCCAGTGATGACGAGCATTTTTTCATGTGTTTTTTTGGCTGCATAAATGTCTTCTTTTGAGAAGTGTCTGTTCATGTCCTTCACCCACTTTTTGATGGGGTTGTTTGTTTTTTTCTTGTAAATTTGTTTGAGTTCATTGTAGATTCTGGATATTAGCCCTTTGTCAGATGAGTAGGTTGTGAAAATTTTCTCCCATTTTGTAGGTTGCCTGTTCACTCTGATGGTAGTTTCTTTTGCTGTGCAGAAGCTCTTGAGTTTAATTAGATCCCATTTGTCAATTTTGGCTTTTGTTGCCATTGCTTTTGGTGTTTTAGACATGAAGTCCTTTCCCATGCCTATGTCCTGAATGGTAATGCCTAGGTTTTCTTCTAGGGTTTTTATGGTTTAAGTCTAACATTTAAGTCTTTAATCCATCTTGAATTGATTTTTGTATGAGGTGTAAGGAAGGGATCCAGTTTCAACTTTCTACATATGGCTAGCCAGTTTTCCCAGCACCATTTATTAAATAGGGAATCCTTTCCCCATTGCTTGTTTTTCTCAGGTTTGTCAAAGATCAGGTAGTTGTAGACATGTGGCGTTATTTCTGAGGGCTCTGTTCTGTTCCATTGATCTATATCTCTGTTTTGGTACCAGTACCATGCTGTTTTGGTTACTGTAGCCTTGTAGTATAGTTTGAAGTCAGGTAGTGTGATGCCTCCAGCTTTGTTCTTTTGGCTTAGGATTGACTTGGCTATGCGGGCTCTTTTTTGGTTCCATATGAACTTTAAAGTAGTTTTTTCCAATTCTGTGAAGAAAGTCACTGGTAGCTTGATGGGGATGGCATTGAATCTATAAATTACCTTGGGCAGTATGGCCATTTTCACGATATTGATTCTTCCTACCCATGAGCATGGAATGTTCTTCCATTTGTTTGTATCCTCTTTTATTTCCTTGAGCAGTGGTTTGTAGTTCTCCTTGAAGAGGTCCTTCACGTCCCTTGTAAGTTGGATTCCTAGGTATTTTATTCTCTTTGAAGCAATTGTGAATGGGAGTTTACTCATGATTTGGCTCTCTGTTTGTCTGTTATTGGTGTATAAGAATGCTTGTGATTTTTGTACATTGATTTTTTTTTTGTATCCTGAGACTTTGCTGAAGTTGCTTATCAGCTTAAGGAGATTTTGGGCTGAGGCAGTGGGGTTTTCTAGATATACAATCATGTCGTCTGCAAACAGGGACAATTTGACTTCCTCTTTTCCTAATTGAATACCCTTTATTTCCTTCTCCTGCCTAATTGCCCTGGCCAGAACTTCCAACACTATGTTGAATAGGAGTGGTGAGAGAGGGCATCCCTGTCTTGTGCCAGTTTTCAAAGGGAATGCTTCCAGTTTTTGCCCATTCAGTATGATATTGGGTGTGGATTTGTCATAGATAGCTCTAATTATTTTGAAATACGTCCCATCGATACCTAATTTATTGAGAGGTTTTAGCATGAAGGGTTGTTGAATTTTATCAAAGGCCTTTTCTGCATCTATTGAGATAATCATGTGGTTTTTGTCTTCGGTTCTGTTTATATGCTGGATTACATTTATTGATTTGCGTATATTGAACCAGCCTTGCATCCCAGGGATGAAGCCCACTTGATCATGGTGGATAAGCTTTTTGATGTGCTGCTGGATTTGTTTTGCCAGTATTTTATTGAGGATTTTTGCATCAATGTTCATCAAGGATATTGGTCTAAAATTCCCTTTTTTGGTTGTGTCTCTGCCCAGCTTTGGTATCGGGATGATGCTGGCTTCATAAAATGAGTTAGGGAGGATTCCCTCTTTTTCTATTGACTGGAATAGTTTCAGAAGGAATGGTACCAGTTCCTCCTTCTACCTCTGGTAGAATTCGGCTGTGAATCCATCTGGTCCTGGACTCTTTTTGGTTGGTAAGCTATTGATTATTGCCACAATTTCAGATCCTGTTATTGGTCTATTCAGAGATTCAACTTCTTCCTGGTTTAGTCTTGGGAGAGTGTATGTGTTGAGGAATTTATTCATTTCTTCTAGATTTTCTAGTTTATTTGCATAGAGGTGTTTGTAGTATTCTCTGATGGTAGTTTGTATTTCTGTGGGATCAGTGGTGATATCTCCTTTATCATTTTGTATTGCATCTATTTGATTCTTCTCTCTTTTCTTCTTTATTAGTCTTGCTTGAGGTCTATCAGTTTTGTTGATCCTTTAAAAAAACCAGCTCCTGGATTCATTAATTTTTTGAAGGGTTTTTTGTGTCTCTATTTCCTTCAGTTCTGCTCTGATTTTAGTTATTTCTTGCCTTCTGCTAGCTTTTGAATGTGTTTGCTCTTGCTTTTCTAGTTCTTTTAATTGTGATATTAGGGTGTCAATTTTGGATCTTTCCTGCTTTCTCCTGTGGGCATTTAGTGCTATAAATTTCCCTCTACACACTGCTTTGAATGCATCCCAGAGATTCTGGTATGTTGTGTCTTTGTTCTCGTTGGTTTCAAAGAACATCTTTATTTCTGCCTTCATTTCGTTATGTACCCAGTAGTCATTCAGGAGCAGGTTGTTCAATTTCCATGTAGTTGAGTGGTTTTGAGTGAGATTCGTAATCCTGACTTCTAGTTTGATTGCACTGTGGTCTGAGAGACAGTTTGTTATAATTTCTGTTCTTTTACATTTGCTGAGGAGAGCTTTACTTCCCAGTATGTGGTCAATTTTGGAATAGGTGTGGTGTGGTGCTGAAAAAAATGTATATTCTGTTGATTTGGGTTGGAGAGTTCTGTAGATGTCTATTAGGTCCGCTTGGTGCAGAGCTGAGTTCAATTCCTGGATATCCTTGTTGACTTTCTGTCTCGTTGATCTGTCTAATGTCGGCAGTGGGGTGTTAAAGTCTCCCATTATTATTGTGTGGGAGACTAAGTCTCTTTGTAGGTCACTCAGGACTTGCTTTATGAATCTGGATGCTCCTGTATTGGGTGTATATATATTTAGGATAGTTAGCTCTTCTTGTTGAATTGATCCCTTTACCATTTTGTAATGGCCTTCTTTGTCTCTTTTGATCGTTGTTGGTTTAAAGTCTGTTTTATCAGAGAGTAGGATTGCAACCCCTGCCTTTTTTTGTTTTCCATTTGCTTGGTAGATCTTCCTCCATCCTTTTATTTTGAGCCTATGTGTGTCTCTGCACATGAGATGGGTTTCCTGAATACAAAACACTGATGGGTCTTGACTCTTTATCCAATTTGCCAGTCTGTGTCTTTTAATTGGAGCATTTAGTCCATTTACATTTAAAGTTAATATTGTTATTTGTGAATTTGATCCTGTCATTATGATGTTAGCTGGTTATTTTGCTCGTTAGTTGATGCAGTTTCTTCCTCATCTCTATGGTCTTTACATTTTGGCATTATTTTGCAGCGGCTGGTACTGGTTGTTCCTTTCCATGTTTAGTGCTTCCTTTGGGACCTCTTTTAGGGCAGGCCTGGTGGTGACAAAATCTCCAGCATTTGCTTGTCTGTAAAGTATTTTATTTCTCCTTCACTTATGAAGCTTAGTTAGGCTGGATATGAAATTCTGGGTTGAAAATTCTTTTCTTTAAGAATGTTGAATATTGGCCCCCACTCTCTTCTGGCTTGTTGAGTTTCTGCTGAGAGATCCGCTGTTAGTCTGATGGGCTTCCCTTTGAGGGTAACCTGACCTTTCTCTCTGGCTGCCCTTAATATTTTTTCCTTCATTTCAGCTTTGGTGAATCTGACAGTTATGTGTCTTGGTGTTGCTCTTCTCGAGGAGTATCTTTGTGGCGTTCTCTGTATTTCCTGAATCTGAATGTTGGCCTGCCTTGCTAGATTGGGGAAGTTCTCCTGGATAATATCCTGCAGAGTGTTTTCCAACTTGGTTCCATTCTCCCCGTCGCTTTCAGGTACACCAATCAGACGTAGATTTGGTCTTTTCACATAGTCCCACATTTCTTGGAGGCTTTGCTCATTTCTTTTTATTCTTTTTTCTCTAAACTTCCCTTCTCGCTTCATTTCATTCATTTCATCTTCCATCGCTGATACCCTTTCTTCCAGTTGATCGCATCGGCTCCTGAGGCTTCTGCATTCTTCACGTAGTTCTCAAGCCTTGGTTTTCAGCTCCATCAGCTCCTTTAAGCACTTCTCTATATTGGTTATTCTAGTTATACATTCTTCTAAATTTTTTTCAATGTTTTCAACTTCTTTGTCTTTGGTTTGAATGTCCTCATGTAGCTCGGAGTAATCTGATCGTCTGAAGCCTCCTTCTCTCAGCTCGTCAAAGTCATTCTCCATCCAGCTTTGTTCCGTTGCTGGTGAGGAACTGCGTTCCTTTGGAGGAGGAGAGGCACTCTGCTTTTTAGAGTTTCCAGTTTTTCTGCTCTGTTTTTTCCCCATCTTTGTGGTTTTATCTACTTTTGGTCTTTGATGATGGTGATGTACAGATGGGTTTTTGGTGTGGATGTCCTTTCTGTTTGTTAGTTTTCCTTCTAACAGACAGGACCCTCAGCTGCAGGTCTGTTGGTGTACCCAGCTGTGTGAGGTGTCAGTCTGCCCCTACTGGGGGGTGCTTCCCAGTTAGGCTGCTCAGGGGTCGGGGTCAGGGACCCACTTGAGGAGGCAGTCTGCCCCTTCTCAGATCTCCAGCTGCGTGCTGGGAGAACCACTGCTGTCTTCAAAGCTGTCAGACAGGGACATTTAAGTCTGCAGAGTTTACTGCTGTCTTTTTGTTTGTCTGTGCCCTGCCCCCAGAAGTGGAGCCTACAGAGGCAGGAAGGCCTCCTTGAGCTGTGGTGGGCTCCACCCAGTTCGAGCTTCCAGGCTGCTTTGTTTACCTAAGCAAGCCTGGGCAATGGCGGGCGCCCCTCCCCCAGCCTCGCTGCCAGCTTGCAGTTTGATCTCAGACTGCTGTGCTAGCAATCAGTGAGATTCCGTGGGCGTAGGACCCTCTGAGCAAGGTGTGGGATATAATCTCCTAGTAGGCGGTTTTTTAAGCCCATCGGGAAAGTGCAGTATTCGGGTGGGAGTGACCCGATTTTCCAGGTGCTGTCTGTCACCCCTTTCTTTGACTAGGAAAGGGAACTCTTTGGCCCCTTGCGCTTCCCGAGTGAGGCAATACCTCACCCTGCTTCCGCTCGCGCACGGTGTGCGCACCCACTGACCTGCGCCCACTCTCTGGCGCTCCCTAGTGAGATGAACCTGGTACCTCAGATGGAAATGCAGAAATCACCCGTCTTCTGTGTCGCTCACGCTGGGAGCTGTAGTCCGGAGCTGTTGCTATTCGGCCATCTTGGCTACTCCCTCCGAAATTTGATCTTAAACTGTTTTTTTTTTCATTTGCAACAGCAACTAGTGCAAAACTAGTGGGTGTTTTTTTAATAGTTACTGATAGATGTTGTAAAATTAAGAATTCATTTGCCTTAGATAATTAACTTGCCATTGAATGCCTACTCCATGTCAGATATCTTGGTTACAGAATAAATAAAAAGATTCTTGAGTTTCTGGTAGTATTTTACATCCTAGTAGAAAAGATAGTCTTGCAGACAGAAAATTTAAACCATGTGATGAGTCCTAATAGAGATGTACACAAGTGCTGTGGGAGGCTTATATGCAAATGAATGTATTGGAAAGTTAAGAAAAGCTTTATGGAAACAGTAAAAAGAAACTTGAAGGATGAGTATAAATTCTGCAGGTAAAGAAAAAGGGGAAAGGCGTCCTTGGTAGGGAAACAATACAGGCATGTGAAAGAATCATGAAACAAATGATATTTGCTGCAATATTTGACCAGAAATAATAAAGTACAGCTAGAGTGTACCTGCCTGATGTAGTTTGGCTCTATGTCCCCACCCAAATCTCATCTCCAGTTGTTATCCCCCCGTGTCAAGGGAGAGACCTGGTGGGAGGTGACTGGATTATGGGGGCAGTTTCCCCAGTACTGTTCTCTTGATAATGAGTTCTCACAGATCTGATGGTTTTATAAGTGGTGGTTTCCCCTGCCCTCTCTCTCTCTCTCTCTCTCTCTATCCTGCCACCTTGTTAAGAAGGTGCTTGCTTCCCCTTTGCCTTCTGCCATGATTGCACGTTTCCTGAGGCTTCCCCAGCCATATGAAACTGTAAGTCTATTAAATCTCTTTTCTTTGTAAATTACCCAGTCTCAGGGAAGTTCTTTATAGCAGTGTGAAAATGGACTAATACACTGCCAGAATAGACACTAGAAGAAACAGAAGAGCTAAGCAGAAACTTTGTACTACAAAGTCTTGTATTCCAGACTAAAAAATGTGAATTTTCATTTTATAAAAACTGAGTAGTGATTCTGATTGTGAGCAGGTTTAAAACAGGATAAATGACAGTCCTGGTTGGCCAGGGACTATCCTGGTTTTAGCACTGACAGTCCCATGCCATGGAAATTATCTCAGTCTCAAGCAAACTGGTACAGTTTGTTTTCTGCTGTGAGAGTACCAAAGTTGTATTTTAGAAAGAAAACTCACTATAGCTTTAATGATAACCCTCTTGTAGGGGAATAAGAAAGATTCTGAAAGCAGGAAGATACTTGCAATTTCAATGTAGGATTTCCTCTTCAATAACCTCAATTGAGTGAGAATCATTATAGTTAATTGTTAACAGTGCTCTGTCACACAATTCAAGATATTATGGCCTTAAAAAGAAGCAACCAAACAATACAACTTTAAGAGAGATTATCCTGTATTTAAAATCATGTTTATTATTTCTGATGAGTGGTTAGGACTTTGCTTTCATTTCTCCAACCTTCCTGAAGGGCATATTATAACACTAACTTTTCCATGTCTAAAAATTGCATAAACTTTTTCACCATGTAAATTTGGGTAAATTCAAAACGTGAGGAATTTCATAAATATGAGAATGTACTTTATAGACAGAGGAGTGTGGTTACACACAGAGTTTTCACAAAAATACAAATTTGCCTTGTTTTGTTTTTCACTTTTATCTGGAATAGGGTTTTTTTTTGTGTTTACTGAAATAATAGTGCCCATAAAGTCTTATAAAAGAATGAAAATTTAAAAGATTTGAAGTTGTAAAAATGAGGCAGATTAAGCTATAATTTCAGGATATGGATAAGCTCTGAGAACTAAATGGTTTAGTGGTTTAATAGAGACTCAAAGAAGAAAAAGAATCTTGAGCAACTTCTTTCAAAGGTGGAACTTTTATAAGGTTCCATGAAGAGCAAAGTATAATGACAAACATATTTTTAGTAATATTAAAAACTATAATGTAATTCAAGCTCATGGTAAAAAGACAATCACACATTATAGAAGGATATGAAATTAGAAGTAAAACTCACCCCCAGCACAGTTCTACACCTTAAGGGAAATAACTATAACTTTCCAGAAATTGTACTTGGGTTATACAGACATATCTATGTATATTCTCTTATTTTCACAAATGGAACTTTATTCCATGTACTATTCTGCAAAAGAAGGCTTTCTTTTAGCATTCTAGTTAAAACCTGGGCCTCATTTGAAATTTGTTCCTTGTGTATTAAGTTTCACAGACTGAATATTTAACAAGCTTAGATTATGAATAGACAGGGCCATGAATCAGTTATTTTTCAGTGGAAATTGCTGTTTTCCTTTTTCTCATCTTACTACCTAATCCCTAAGCAGTCAAATGGACCAGCTGTGCAATAAATCTACATTAGCTAAAAAAGATAGTCAAAAACATTATTTTGGCTCCTTTTTGATCTGGTACATTTTTATAAATAGAAATGACCACAATAAATGCATTCATTCATTTTACAAATGTTTATTAACTACCTACTGTGTACTTGACACTATTCTAGATGTTGGGGATAAACACAAAAATTTATATTAATAATACAATACATTAATAATAATTATAATTACATTCATTATTATAGTCACATTTTTCAGTCTACATTATCATTCCAAAAAATATAAAAACTGTTTTTTGTTGCTCGGGGATTCACTTGAAATTCATATTTACTTTGAGCCAACATTTTCTCTGAGTTCTAACATCTTTTCCATGTTAATATCAACTACCATCCAGTTCTTAGTATTTTTATTAATTAAAGGCCATAGTTTATTTAGGTTTCCTTAGTTTTTACTTAATATCCATTTTCAGTTTCCCAATCTCATCCATGAAGCCACATTATATTTAGTTAAAATATCTCTTTAGATTCTCCTTAGTCGTAATATTTTATTTTTAAAAATATGTTATTGAGAAAGAAATCACATAACAGAATTAACCATTTTAAAGTGTCCAATTGAAAAAAAGGGCAAGATGACCAACTAGATGCAGCTAGGAAGTGCCACTCTCACTGACAGAGACTGGGATTTGGACTAAACCACTGTAATTTGAGAAGATCTTTAGAGATAAAATGCCAAATGCAAATGGAGAAAAGAGGCATATGTTGAGGCTGAAGAGGGAGAAATTGAGGAACCCTATGTGGGGGGCTTGAATGCTAGGGCTGATTCCTGGACCTGAATGATCCTGGGGAAGGGAACATAGCTGGAAATATTAGGAAACACAAAAGAGCCACGTGGTTGAGTAAGAGCCTATTTAGCAACAATTGCTCTTAAGTGCTGTCTACAGGTAACACAGGCCAAACTAACAACAGCAAAAAACACTTCGCTACATCACCCCCCATGAGACACCAAGATCAAAAATTCAAAAACAAAGACCTTGTATAGAGGCTTGAAATGGAACCAACTTACTGTACTCAATTTGCACTGCAGCTGAAGGAACAACAGCCCTCCCAAATGAGAAACAATCAGTGCAAGAACTCTGTGAATTCAAAAAGCCAGAGTGTACCCTTACCTCCAAACAAGCCTACTAGCTCCCCAGCAATGGTTCTTAATCAGTCTAAGATAACTGAAATGACAGACATGAAATTCAGAATCTGGATTACAAGGAAGCTCACGGAGATCCTGGAGAAAGTTCAAACCCAATCCAAGGAAGCCAAGCAATCATTATAATAATTCTAGAGCTGAAAGATGAAATTTCTATTTTAAGAAAGACCTAAACTTAACCTTTTGAGCTGAAAAATTCCCTATGGGAATTTCATAGTACAATTGGTAGTATTAAGATCAGAATAGACCAAGCTGAGAAAAGAAACTCACAGCTCAAAGACTAGTTCTTTGAATCAACTCATTCAGACAAAAATAAAGAAAAATTAATTTTAAAAAATAAACAAAACCCTGAAGAAATATGGGATAATGCAAAGAGACCAAATCTATAACTTCTTGGCACATCTGAAAGATGTGCCATTTTATGCTAGATAAGGCCTGGGGACATGTGAAATTAGCTCCCTAGCTATGCAAAGAATGTTATAAAGAAAAGATATTTTATATAAAAAAGGATCTTGTATGGTAAATTCTTGTCCTAAAATAAAGTGATTGGTTCTTTAAAAAACGGGATGTTTAGGACAAGTCAGAAAATCTAAGCATGTCACAGATGGTCTGTGTAAGTTGTGAAAGGATTTCTGAAAGGGAATTTATGCAAGAAATGTTGTACAATTTGAAGGTTGTGAGGCCTCCTAAATGTTTCATAAAATGCCACTATGACTCTTAACTGTACAACCTACCTGCTTTACAGCTAGATAAGGCCTGGGAACATGTGGAGTTAGCCACACCCCTTAGCTATGCTGGAAAGAGTCAGACTTTATCTGCACTTTTGACTGGCATCCTGGGTTACACACCTGGTACATAAATAAAATCACTTACAAACCAGGTTTTTCACCAAAAGTAATAGTTGCTAAGAGTTAACAGTGTAACATGTATGTGAGACTACTGAAGAAACAGTTTTACAAACAAGCCATGTAAGGAAAGTAGAATGTGCTTTTGGTAAAAGATCATGTAAAGATGGCCTGGCACAGTGGCTCACGCCTGTAATCCCAGCACTTTGGGAGGCCAAGGTGGGTGGATCATGAGGTCAGGTGTTCAAGACCAGCCTGGCCAACATGGAGAAACCCTGTCTCTACTAAAAATACAAAAATTAGTTTGGTGTGGTGGTGCACGCTTGTAGTCCCAGCTACTAGGGAGGCTGAGGCAGGAGAATCGCTTGAACCCAGGAGGTGGGGCTTGCAGTGAGCCTAGATTGTGCCACTGCACTGTAGCCTGGGTGACAGAGTGAGACTCCATCTCAAAAAAATAAAAAATAAAAAATAAAAGATTATATAAAAGCATGGGAATATGAATTTCTCATCTAAGTTCAGAGGGTTAAGTTGTGTTAAGTGAGGCAGAAAAAATATAAAGGTTTAAGCAAGTTGTGGTAGGTTTATTTTAAAAATTACGGTGTATAAATATATTGGCTAAAGTTAAAGGAGTATTATTCAGTTTTTCCATAAATTGAACATTGGAATAAAAGCATAACAGAGTTTTTTACAACATTGTTCTGCTGTTTAACAAAAAAAATTGTAAAAGTTTATAAAAGGTTTATGAAAATCTTACCTTATCATCAAATTAATTAAAACTGTTACTAAAAATGTTATTAAAACTAAATTTAGCATTAAAGATGCACAAATGCAAACATAAAATATGGTTTTCTATTTTGAAAATGATTTTTATGTAATATTAAAAGATAATGAAAGGTTTTTGTTTGCCTTTTAAGTAAACTAAACAAAAAAGTATGAAGGGAGAGAGAAGAGAGATTCTGGTGGCCTTATACTATCTTCATTGAGTCTTATTGTTTGGAAAGCTGAGTCCCCTCTCTATCAGAGTAAAAGTTTCTCCTTTTTTTAAATTTTTGAGTTATCAGTTTGGTTAAATGAATGACTTATGGTGACCTGGGATTCTATTTTGTGAAATCAAGTGTTTCAAACACAGGAAGCACTATCAAATATAAAATTGTTTTTAACTTTCTATGGGTTATATTTGTATAAAGAGGTTAGTAGTATGTGTTATGAAATTGTATAAGATTCCTATAATTCTGATATGCCTCAGTATATGCTATCAGTAATAATTAAACTTGTTATGTTAAATTATTGTGTGCCACAGAAATAACAAATTTTCTTGTCAATTGTGTCTCTAACTGTGGCTGCCTTAAAATGTTCTTTTCGTCCACAGACAATTGTTGTGTTGTTTTGTTTTGGTCATCTTTAGAAGATGATTTCACAATCAGCTATAAAACATTGACAGGAGCTCTTGAATGCAAGTTTCTTAGATAACTCGAGATTGTGACATTAGAATAAAGGAAATAAACTCTCAGGACTGTCATGGAAAGCTAAAATGTTCATGAATATCAAGCAGAACAGGAGTTGACTTAATGGACTGAGCTGATAGAAAACTGAAGTAACCTTTTTTTTTTTACTTTTATGTTTTGCTAAAAACTTTGCTGATCCTTTTTGTTTTTTTCAGAGCCAAGGAAACTTATTTTTTGAGCTATTTACAGGTTTTAACAACTGAGTAAAGTATACTGCTCTGAAGAAAATTAGAGGCATATTTGCTTCTCTCTATCTGATTTCCCCAGAATTTGGAAACTATGTGAGTATTCTTAAATTATGGCAATATAGTTATTTGCATAAATGCAATAAGAATGTTTTCTTTTACAACAGAACACAATCGGAGAAACTGGTTATTTTACCAAGTCTTTGACTAGAATGGTGTGTTGTCCTTTAAGGAATCAAATTTGACTTATAGAGCAAATAAAAGCCCATTGGGAAAACTGGCCTCATACCTTGTCTATGCAGTTCCTATACAGAGTTCCTGACCTGTGGTAAGTAAAGAATGTCACTTTCTAACAGGCCCAGGAGCCCCAAGTTATCTTGAAACCTCAAGAGGAGAAGAATTTTTACCCAACTCATAGGTATTTGAGGGTAAAAACCCATGGCTTGACTTGGTTTCTTAAAAAGTCTTATCTGAGATTCCTTATGCAACAGAGTTCCATCAGAGCCAATTTAAAAGTCCTATGTGAAAAATAATTACTCTTGCTGCACTCTATGCAAATAATCAGGCTAAGTATAATAAAACTAAAGTTTATTTTGCAAGTAAATCAGCAGTATAATGACTTTTTTTAATAAAAATAAAGACTGGGAGAAAAAAATTGTTTCAATAATTATAGTACACCTGTTGTTAGTTGTTTTTGAGTCTTTATTTTATTTTTTTCTGTACAAGTCAGATTAAATATTTTTGGCTGCCTACAAGTTATCAAACAAATGCTTTAAATCTTTAATTTTAAAACCAGAAATTGCACTCGTTATCCTAGAACTCAGTATTTATAGTACACTGTCCACTTAAATGCTGTATTAAAACTATAGATGAGAATACTAACACCTTTGTCATGAAAGCCTTGGAATCCCAGCCTGGTCTGTGTGAGCAAGCTCAGACAGCTGCAAAACAGTTCCACGTCTCTCACCTTGGAGTCAACCCCTACCCCCACCATGCACCCTGTCAGCAGGAAGAAGCCAGAGCAATTGATAGCCTTTCTCCATCTTCATTGTCCATACCTTAAGAATAAGGTGCTATAAAACGAAAAAGCAGGAATTGAGACCACCTTTGAAAAAATTATAACTGAGGAAATCATGACAGTGATAGAGATCAGACCTAATCAACTCCATCTTGTTTCTCTTTTTTATTTTATTATTTATTTTTTTTTGAGACAGAGTCTCGATTTGTTGCCAGGCTGGAGAGCAGTGGCATGATCTTGGCTCACTCCCTGGTTTAAGCGATTCTCCTGAATCAGCCTCCTGAGCAGCTGGGATTATAGGCACGTGCCACCACGCCCAGCTGACTTTTGTATTTTTAGTAGAGATGGGTTTTCACCATGCTGGCCAGGATGGTCTTGATCTTCTGACCTTGTGATCTGCCCACCTCGCCCTCCCAAAGTGCTGGGATTACAGGCGTGAGCCACCGCGCCCTGCCTCTTGTTTTTAACCTTTAAGCTGTTCTTGTTTATTCTTGGGCATAGGCCACACTAACCTTGGGAAGGAATTCCTTTTATGGTTTGACTCTGAAACGAAATTGATAATAGCTCTTTCCTGAAAAGACCCCTTTCTTGCCTAGGGACCAATCTGCCTTTGCAGGACTAACAAATTAGCTACAAGATTAGAAATTATGCTTCAGGGGTTATGCAGCTTCTGGCTGCAAGAGTCTGAACCTTCCCAAATTGCTCCTGGGGGTAACATTACTACTGTAGAACCTAAGGTCAGTGCTTGAGATATTTTGCAGACCCTGCACTAGATGGATTAGCTGACACCACCCAGAGTGGTAATCTGACTCAACCAGTTCTGCAATCCCAACCAGAAACAGAATACAGTGAGGAAACGTCACTTCAGCCCCCTATGATTCCATCTCCAACCTGACCAATCAGCACTCCCCACTTCCTGAGCCCCTACCCACCAAATTATCTTTAAAACCTTGATCTCTGAGTGTTCAGGGAGACTGATTTGAGTAATAATAAAACTCCACTTTCCTACACAGCTGGCTCGGTGTGAATTATACATTCTTCATAGCAATTCCCCTGCCTTGATAAATAAGCTCTGTCTAGGCAGCCAGCAAGGTGAACTTCTTGGGTGGTTACAATTCCAGTTACTTGGGGGGCAAAGGTGAAGGATCACTTTAGCCTACGAGGTCAAGGCTGCAGTGAGCCATGTTTGCATGACTGCACTCCAGCCTGGGTGACAAAGACATACCCTGTCTCAAAAAAAAAGAGGAAGAAAAAAAGAAACAAAGAACAAATGAAATGAATAGAAAATATTTATAAGGGTGAAATATATCAATCATGTATATTAATATAAATAGAATATTAGTATAAATAATTACTTTAAATATGATGGTCCAAACATACTAACTAAAGATAGAAATTGTCAGAGTGGGGAAAGAACAAAATCAACTGTATATGTCTAAAAGAAAGACACTTTCAATGTAAAGACACAGATAATTTAAAAATAAAGAGGTAAAGAAAGGTATACAGTGTTAACATTTATCAAAACAAAGCGTGTTACCAAAAGTTAATGTTTTCAGAGAATGCTTTGGTTAAAAAGCCTTTACCAACTTGGGCTGTTTGGGATAATAATGTTGGCCACTTTCCACAGTGGGTTATAACATTAATATATATATAAGTCACTATTAGTTTGTAATCTACATTACATAAGTGTAAAAAAAGTGTGAGTAGCTATATTATTTTTTGAAAAGGCAGATTTCAGAGAAAGTGAAATGATCAGAAATGAAGAGCCATTTTTAAATGATAAAGGGTCAATTCTTTAAGAGAATATAACAATCCAAAACATGTACACACCTAAAAAGTAGAGTATGTGAGGCAAGAACTGACGGCACTGCAAAGATAAACAGACAAATCTACTTTTATAGTTGGAGACATCAACAACTCAATGTAAGTAACTGACAGATTAAGCAGGCAAAATATCAGTAAGAATAAAGATGGCCTAAGCATCACTTCAATCAATTTGATCACTTAGCAGTTATAGAATTATCCATATGAAAAGAGCATAATACACATTCTTCAAAAACACACATGAAATATTAAAAAGAACACATTTTGTGCTATAAAACACATCTTAACACATTTGAAAGACTGTATCAAATAAAAAATAAAGTATGTTCTAGACCACAATAAATATGAATCAATTTTGTAAAAATTTACTTCAAATATTAACATGTTTTTAAATAACCCGTGGTTCAAAAAAATTAAATGTAAAAATCATTTTAGCTACATGAAAACAAAAATATAATCAGAATTTGTGGGATGCAAAGTTAGCCATTCTTAAAGGAAAATGTGTAGCATTAAATTATATATTTGCCAGAGCAATCAGGCAAGAGAAAGTAAAAATGGCATTCAAGTAGGAAGAGAGGAAGTCAAATTATTCCTGTTTGCAGACAACATGATCCCATATCTAGAAAACCCCATAGTCTAAGCACAAAAGCTCCTTCAGCTGATAAAATACTTCAGCAAAGTTTCAGGATACAAAATCAACGTACAAAAAAATCACTAGCATTTCTACACACAAACAACAGCCAAACAGAGAGCCAAACCAGGAAGGTAGTCTCATTTACAATTGCCACAAAAAGAATAAAACACCTAGGAATTGCAGCTAACCAGGAAGGTGAAAAATCTCTACAATGAGAATAACAAAACACTGTTCAAAGAAATCAGAGAAGACACAAACAAATGAAAAAAACATCCAATGCTCAGGGATAGGAAGAATCAATATCATTAAAATGGACATACTGCCCAAAGCAATTTACAGATTAAATGCTATTCTTATCCCATTACCAACAACATTCCTCACAGAACTACAAAACACTATTTAATATTCATATGGAACCGAAAAAGAGCTTGAATAGCCAATGCCATACTAAGCAAAAAGAAGAAAACTGGAGGCATCATACTACCTGACTTCAAACTATACTATAGGGCTGTAGTAACCAAAAAAGCATGGTACTGGTACAAAAACATGCATGTAAACGAATGGGACAGAATAGAGAGTCCAGAAATAAGGCTGTACACCTATGACCATCTGATCTTTGACAAAGCTCACAAAAACAAACAATGTGGAATAGACTCCCTATTCAACAAATGGTGCTGGGATAACTGGCTAGTCATATGCAGAAGATTGAAGCTAGACCCCTTTCTTACACCATATACCAAAATCAATTAAAGATGGACTAAATACTTAACTGTAAAACCAAAAGCTATAAAAAAAAAACTGGAAGACAACATAGGTAACACAATCCTGAACATAGGAACAGGCAAAGATTTTAAGACAGACACTAAAAGCAATCACAACAAAAGGAAAAATTGACAAATGAGATCTAACCAAATTTAAGATCCTCTGCACAGCAAAATAAACCATCAACAAGATAAAGAGACAACCTACAGAATGGAAGAATATCTTTGCAAACTATGCATCTGACAAAGGTCTAATATCCAGCATCTGTGAGTAATTTAAACGAATTTACAAAACAAAAACAAACCACTCCATTAAAAAATGGTCAAAGGACATAGACATATTTCAAAAGAAGACATACCTGTGGCCAACAAGCACATGACAAAAAGTTCAATATTACAGAAATGTTAAAACCACAATGAGATACCATCTCACACCAGTCAGAATGGCTATTAATAAAAAGTCAAAAAATAGCAGATGCTGCTAAGGTTGTGGAGAAAAGGGAACGTTTACACAATGTTGATAGGAATTTCAATTAGTACAACCATTTTGGAAAAAATTGTGGCTACTCTTCAAAGAGCCATGAAAACAGAACTACTACTTTACCCAGCAACCTCATTCCTGGGGATATACCCAAAGGAATATAAATAGTTCTATTATAAAGATATATGCATACATATGTTCATGCAGTACTATTCACAATAGTTAAGACATGGAGTCAATCTAAACACCTATCAGTGGAAAACCGGATAAAGAAAATGTGGTACTTATACACCATGGAATACTATGCAGCCATAAAAAAGAACAAGATCATGTCTTTGTGGGAACATGGATGAAGCTGGGGGCTACTATTCTTAGCAAACTAATGCAGAAACAGAAAACCTAATACCAGATGTTCTCATTTATAAGTTGGAGCTAAACGATGAGGACTCATGAACACAAAGAAGGAAACAGGCACTGGTGTCTACATGAGGGTGGACGTTGTGAAGAGGGAGAGAAGAAAAAAAAAACTTATGGGTACTAGACTTAATACTTGGGTGACGAAGTAATCTGTACAACAAGCTTCCATGACATGAGTTTACCTATATAACAAATCTTCACATGTACCCACGAACCTAAAATAAAAGTTAAAAATGAATAAATTAAAATTAAAAATAAATTAATTAATGATTCAATGAAATACATTCTAGTGCATTAGTATACCTCATTTTTTTCACTCATCCGTTTATAGACATAGGAGCTGTTTTCCATTTTGAGCCTGTTATGAATAACAATGCTATAAGCACTGACATATAAGTTCTTGTGGATATATGTTCTAATTTCTCATGGGTATATATTTAGTGGAATTGCTGGCTCATAAGGCAACATTGTATTACATTGGTGCAAAAGTAATTGCGTTTTTGCTATTACTCTTAATGCAAATTAAAAAGTAATGTTTGCAATTACTTTTAATTTTTAACATTTTGAGGAGCTTCACCATTTTATAATCCCACCAGCAATGTGTGTGCTTCCCAATTTCTCTATATCCCTACCAACACATTTTACCGTCTGCCTTTTTTATTAGAACCATCCTAATGGCTGTGAAGATGAATTCCATCAGGACTTCCATTTACGTTTCCCTAATGATTAATGATACATAGAAACTATGTATATATTAGCCATTTGTGTATCTTCTTTAGAAAGAGTTCTACTTACATCCTTGGCCCATATTTTAATGGGGTTATTTTGGTTTTTATTGTTGAGTTGTAAACATTGCTAATTTTACTCTGGATATATGTCATGTATCTATTATCAAAGTTATGATTTGCAAATATCTTCTTACATCTTGAGGGCTGTTTTGTTTATGCCATAATTTTCAGAAGAAAAGCTTTTAATTTTAATATAGTCCAATATATTTATTTTGTTTTTTGTCACAAGTTTTTTTGCTATTATGCCTAAAAAACAATTACCTATATCAAAGGTCAAGGAAGATTCGTTCATACATACCCTTCTAAGATTTTTATGTTAAAAAAAGAGCTAAAAAGCTTTTACGTTTACATCTTTGATACACTTTAGTTTTTGTGTATAGTGTGAGTCCAACCTTATTTATTTATTTTGCACATGGATATACAGTTGTATCAGTAGTATTTTTTGAAAAGACCGTTCTTTTCCCGTTGAATAGTTTGTCATCTTTGTGGAAAATCAATTGACCAAAAATCTGTGGTTTTATTTCTGGACTCTTAATTCTATTCCATTGATCTAATATATTGTCTCGATATCATTAACATACTGTCTTGCTTAATGTAGTTTTATATAATCTGTTATGAAATCAGAAAGTTTGCATCTGAACTTTTATACTTATTTTTCAAACTTGTTTTGCCTATTCTGAGTTATTTGCCTTTCCATAAGAATTTTTGGATTATATTACCCTTTTTTTTGCAAGGAAGCCAGATGTTATTTTGATAGGATTTTTTTGGCTTTGTAGATTAATTTGGGGAGTATTGGCATCTAAATAATGTTAAATAGTTTGATACATGAACGTGGAATCTATTCCCATTTACTAGATCTAATTTGTTTCAATATTATTTTATATTTTTAAATGTACATGTCTAGTACTACTTTTGTTACATTTGCTTTTGAGGACTTTATTTTTTATTTATTTATTTTTTATATACTTTAAGTTCTGTGGTACATGTGCTGAACGTGCCGTTTTGTTACATAGGTATACATATACCATGGTGGTTTGCTGCACCCGTCAACCTGTCACCTACATTAGATATTTCTCCTAATGTTATCCCTCCCGTAGCCCTCCACCCCGACAGGTCCCAGTGTGTAATGTTCCCCTCCCTATGTCCATGTGTCCTCATTGTTCAATTCTCACTTATGAGTGAGAACATGAGGTGTTTGGTTTTTCTGTTCTCGTGATAATTTGCTGAGAATGATGGTTTCCAGCTTCACCCATGTCCCTGCAAAGAACATGAACTCATCCTTTTTTTATGGCTGCATAGTAAGGAATTTTATTTTTTAAACATATTTTATATGGATTTTATCCTTAAATTCCTTTTAAATTGTTAATTGATAATATATAAAATTACATTTGATATGTATATGCATCTTGTACTGTGAAACTTTGCTAATTCATTTACTAGTTTTAATATTTTTTGTGGATTCTTTAGAAATGTTTATATAAAACTTCATGTCAACTGCAAATAGAGATAATTTTTCTTCTTCCTTTTTGCTCTGGCTACCTTTTATTTCATTGTCTTATCTAATTTTTAGACTAGTACTTCTAGTAAAATATTACATAGAAATGGTGAGAATGAACATCTTGTCTTGCTACTGACTTTGGGCAAACACATTCAGTTTTTCACCACTCTGTATGATGGTGCATGTATTTTGGTTATTTGAGAGAGGGAGAGGAAGACGAAGAGGGAGAGCAAAAGAATTTAAGAAATTAGCTTACATGATTGCGGATATTGGCAATTCTGAAATCTGCAGGGTAGGCTTGCAGGCTGGTGACCCACGGTAGAGTTCAAATTTGAGAGTACTCTGCTGGCAGAATTTTCTTTTCCTCTGGAGAGGTCCGGTTTTGTCTTTTTTCTTTTTTTCTATTAAGGCCTTCAACTGATTTGGATAAGATGGGGTGGGCGCAGTGGCTGCACCACTGGCTGGATCCCTGAATCGGGTGCCTCTCTCACTTTCCACGGCCCCGAAGCGTGGCCCCAGCTTTGCACCCTGTGCCAGCCCCTGTGCTCCATGTGCAACTGCAGCATCATCCCGGGTGTATCTCCACTTCAGGGATCCTCTCTGCCTGACTGTGCTTCTCCCCCACCAGCGGGCAACCCTGCCCAGACCCATTGTGGCAGCCCCCAGTACAGCGGGCTGCGGGGGCTGTCCACCGCCTTCTGGCATCCTCCCTGCAGAGGCTAGAGTGATGGCAGGGCCACTCCAGATGGCCCACCTCTGCCATCAATAATACATACATAATCTCTATGTTATAGTCCCACAGTGCTGCAAGGGGGCTGGCCCGGGCTGCACACTCCACGGAACCAGCAGGAGCCAGGATCAAGCAGCAGCCCCATCCTGAACGTGACTGCAGCCGCACAAGTCAGGGTTATAGACCTGGGCCTCCCTGGGCTCTTGGGGGCTGGGAGCAGGCAGAAGTCTTACCCCTGGTGCAGCTGATTTCACTTAATACAATTATCTCCAGTTCCATCCATGTTGTTGCAAAAGAGTGGATCTCATTATTTTTATGGCTGCATAGTGCTCCATTGTGTATATGTACCACATTTTCTTCATCCATTTATCTGTTGATGGATACTTAGATTGCTTCCAAATCTTAGCTATTGTGAACAATGCATCAACAAACATGAGAGTGCAGACATCTCTTCGATATACTGATATTTTTTGTGGGATACATACCTAGTAGTAGGATTGCTGAATCATATGGTAGCACAATTTCTAGTTTTTGAAAGAACTTCCACACATACTGTTCTCCACAGTACTTATACTAATTTACATTCCCACCAACAGTGTACAAGAGTTTCCTTTTCTCCACATCCTTGCCAGCATTTGTTATTGCCTGTCTTTTGTATATAAACCGTTTTAACTGGCGTGAGATAATATCTCATCATTTTGATTTGCATTTTTCTGATGATCAGTGATGTTTAGAATCTTTTCAAATGCCTGTTTGCCATTCTTATGTCTTCTTTTAAGAAAGGTCTATTCAAATCTTTTGCCCATGTTTGATCAGATTATTATATTTTTTCTACAGAATTGTTTGAGGTCCTTATTATATTCTGGTTATTAATCCCTTCCTTGTCAGATGGGTAATTTGCAAATATTTTCTCCCTTTCTGTGGGTTTTCTCTTCTCTTTATTAATTGTATCCTGTGTTGTGCAGAAACCTTTTAAGTTGATGTGATTCCATTTTTCCATTTTTGGTTTGGTTGCCTGCGCTTGTGGGGTATTGCCAAAGAAATTTTTGCCCAGACCAATGTACTAGAGACTTTCCTGAAAGTTTTCTTGTAGTAATTTTATGGTTTGAGGTCTGAGATTTAAGTCTAAAATTAATTTAGATTTGATTTTTGTATGCCATGAAAGATGTGGGTCTAGTTTCATTCTTCTGCATATGAATATTTAGTTTTTCCAGCACCATTGAATGAAGAAACTGTCTTTTCCCCAGTATGTTTTCTTGACACCTTTGTAGACAATGAATTCACTGTAGGTGTGTGGATTATTTTTCTGGGTTGTATATTCTGTTCCACTGGTGTATGTGTGTTGTTATGCCAGAACACGCTGTTTTGGTTACTATAGCTCCATAGTATAATTTGAAGTTAGGTAATGTGATTCCTTCATGTGTTTTTTTTCTTAGACAAGCTTTGGCTTTTTTGGTTGTTTATTAATTCCATATAAATTTTAGGATTATTCTATTTCTGTGAAGAATGTCATTGTTATTTTGATAGGGATTGCATTGAATCTGTGGATTGCTTTGGGTGGTATCAACATTTTAACAAGAATAATCCTTTTAATCCATGAACATTTAATAATGGTCTTTTTTGTTTTTTATAAAGAAAAGATGTTGAATTTTATTAAATGTTTGTTCAGCATCAATTGAAATTATCATATGCTTTATATCCTTTATTCTTTTAATATGATGTATCACATGGATTCATTTGTGTATATTAAATCATCCTTGCATTGCAGGAATGAATCTGACTTGGTTATAATAAATGATTTTTCTATTTTACTGTTGAATTTGGTTTGCTAGTATTTTGTTGAGAATTCTTGCATCAATATTGATCAAGGATGTTGGTGTGTAGTTTTCTTTCTTGATATGCCTTTGTCTCATTTTGTTATCAGGATAAGACTGGCCTCATAACATTAGTTCAGAAGTAATCCTACTTACTCCATTTTTCAGAATGATTTGAGTAGGCCTGGTATTCGTTATTCTTTGAATAAATTTGTTGTTCTTTGGAAGAATTCAGCAGTAAATCCTTTGGGTCCTTGGTGTTTCTTATATGGGAGGCTTTTTATTGTGGCTTTGCTCTCATGTCTTGTTATCAATATTTGTTCAGGTTTTGGCTTTCTTCCTGGTTCAACCTTGGTAGGTTGTACATGTCTAAGAGTTTGTCCATTTCTGCTAGATGTTCCAATGTATTGGCATATAGTTGCTCATAATAACCAGTAATAATTTTTGGAATTTCTGCAGTATCAGTTGTCATACCTCCATTTTTATCTATTATTTTATTTAGTTGGATCATATCTGTTTCTTAGTCTGAATAAGGCTTGTAAATTTTGTTTAACTTTCCCAGAAACCAATTTTTTTCATTGATGTTTTCTATTGTTTACTTCACTTTAATTTCATTTATTTCTGCTTTTATTATTTTGTTTCTTCTATTAATTTTGGGGTAGGTTTGCACTTGCTTTTCTAGTTATTTAAGAAGCATTGTTACATTATTTATTTGAAGTTCCTCATCTTTTTTGATGGAGATACTTATAGCTATAAACCTTTTCCTTAGTACTGCTTTTGCTGTATCTAATAGGTTTTAAATTTGGGCATGCTTTATTTTTTCTTTTGTTTCTTTTACTTTTTTGCTATGCTTCCTCAGATTATGGGATGTTATGTTTCCATTATCACTTGTTTCAAATTTTTCATTTTTTTCTCAATTTATGTATTGGCCCACTGGTAATTCAGGAGCATATTTGTTTAATTTCCATGTATTTTTATAGTTTCCAAAATTTATCTTGTAATTGATTTCTAGTTTTATTCCATGTGGTCAGAGAAGATGCTTGATATTATTTCAATTTTTTGAATGTTTTAAGACTATCTTTGTGACCTAACATATGGTCTTTCTTTAAGAATGATCCATGTTCTTGTGAAAAAAAAAGTGTAGTCCATAGCCATTGGATGAAATGTTCTGTAGTTATCTATTAAATCCATTTAGTCTATAGTGCAGCTTGTCTGATGTTTCTTGGTAGATTATCTGTCTAATTGATTTGTCCAATGCTGAAAGTGGGGCATTGATGTCTCCAGTTATTATTGTGTTGGGTCTTATCTCTCTCTTTAGCTCTAATAATATTTCCTTTATATATCAGGGCGCTGCAGTGTTTGGTGCATATATAATTAATATTGTCATATCTTATTTCTGAATTGACCCCTTTATCAATATATAGCAACATTTTAAATCTCTTTTTATGGTTTTTGTCTTGAAATCTGTTTTTTTATATAAGTATAGCCACTTCTGCTTTTTTTGGTTTCTATTTGAATGTAATTTCTTTTTCTATCCCTTTATTTTCAGCCTATCTGTGTCTTTAAAGGTGAAGTGTGTTTCTTGTAGGCAAAAGATCAATAAGTCTGTTTTTTCATCTGATCAGCCAGTTTATTTCTTTTAATTGAAGAGTTTAGTCCATTTACATTCAATGTTATTATTGATAACATTGAATGTAAAGACTTACTCCTGCCATTTTGTTATTTGTTTTCTTGTTAGTTTATGATCTCTTCCTTCTTTTCTGTCTTAATTTAGTGAAGGTAATTTTCTTTTGTGATAAGATTCAGTTTCTTGCCTTTTATTTTTTGTGTATCTGTTGTATTTTTTTTGGTTCGAAGTTATCATGAGGCTTACAAATAATATCTTATAACCTATTATTTTGAGCTGATAACAACATAGCAAAATCTGCATAAACAAATATTTAAAAAAACTAATAAAACCTGTACATCTTAACTTTGTGTAGCTGCTTTTTAACTTTTTGTTGTTTCCATTTATATCTCATTGTACTGCCTATGTCTTTAAAAGTTGTAGTTACTATTTTTAATGGTTTATTATTTATTTTTTTCTAATTAAGATAAGAATAATTTACACAGCACAGTTATATGGTTATACCATTCTGTGCTTTTTCTTTATACTATTACCAGTGAAGTTTTGTATTTTCAGGCAATGACTTACTGCTTATTAATATTTTCTTTTTCCTGATTGAAGTTTTCCCTTCAGCATTTCTTGTAGAACAGGTCTTGTATTAATGAAATACCTCAGGTTTTGTTTGTCCTGAAAAGTCTTTATTTCTCCTTCATGTGGGAAGAATATTTTCATTGCATATGCTATTCTAGGCTAAAAGGTTCTTTTGTTATTGTTGTTTGTTTGTTTGTTTTTGGCCAGCACTTTAAATATTTCATGTTGCTTTCTCCTGGCCTGTACTGTTTCCACTGAAAAGTCTGCTGCAAAATGCATTAAAGCTCTGTATGTTATTTGTTTCTTTTATCTTTCTGCTTTTAGAATCCTTTATTCTTGGTCTTTGAAATTTTGATTATTAAATGGCTTGAGGTATATTTCTTTGGGTTACATATGCTTGGTGTTCTACAACATTCTTGTATTTAGATATTGACATCTTTCTCTAGGTTTGGAAAATTCTCTGTTATGGTCTATTAAAATATACTTTCTATTCCTCTCTCTTTCTCTACCTCTTCTTTAAGGCCAATAACTCTTCAATTTGCCCATTTTGAGGCCATTTTCTAGATCTTGTAGGCATGATTTGTTGGTTTTTATTCTTGTTTCTTTGTCTTTTGAAACTGCGTATTTTCAAGCAGCCTGTCTTCAAGCTCACTAATTCTTTCTTCTATTTGATCAGTTCTGCTATTAAAATACTCTGATGCAGTCAGTCTTCAGTATGCCAATTGCATTTTTCATCTCCAGAATTTCTTTTTAATTCTTTGAATTGTTTCAATTCCTTTGTTAAATTTATTTGATAGAATTCTGAATTACTTCTATTTGTTATCCTGAATTTATTTGAGTTTCTGCATACAGCATTTTTTAATTCTCTGTCTGAAAAGTCACATATCTTTTTTTCTGCAGGATTGGTCCCTCGTGCCTTATTTATTTTATTTTGTGAGGACATGCTTTCCTGGATGGTGTTGATGCTACTAGATGTGCTTCAGTGTCTGTGTATTGCAGAATTAGGTATTTATTGTAGTCTTCACCATATGGGCTTATTTGTACCCATCCTTCCAGGGAAGGCTTTCCAGATACCTAGAAGAACTTGGGTGCTGTGATCTAAGCTGTATCCAGTTTAGGGGGCACCACAATCCCAGTAACACTATGGGTTTTGCAGACTGTTAGTGATACCACCTTGTAGATCTTGGACAAAATTCAGAAGAATTTTCTGGATTAACAGACAGAGATTATTGTTATCCTCCCTTTCTTTCCCCTGGCAAAAATAAATGAATAAATAAAAATAATAAAGTTTCTCTCTCTGTGGTAAGCCACCTAAAGTTGGGGGTGGAGTGACACCAAGCACCCCTGTGGCCACCACCACTCTGACTGCACTACATCAGACCTCAAACTAGCACAGCACTGAGTTTCACTCAAGGCATGCTGTTACCACCCCCTAGCTAGTTCCTATGTTTGCTAGAGGCCCTTGGGCTCTACAATTATCAGGTGTCAAAGCCAGCCAAGCCTGTGTCCTTTCTTTCAAGACAACAAGTCCCCCCAGGCCACAGGTGTGCCAGAGGTGCCATTTAGGAGTCAAGGTCTAGAGTCCAAAACCTTAGAAGTCAACCTGGTATTCTATTGTGCTGTGTCTGAGCTGGCACTCAAACCAAAAGATGCAGTTTCTCCCACTTATCACTCCCCTTTTCAAAAGCAGAGGAGCCTCACCCCATACCCCCCAACACCACAGGCCATGGGAAGTGCTGCCAGACCACTGCTGATGTTCCCTTAAGGCCCAAGGGCTCTTAAGTCAGCTTATGGTGAATACTGCCTAGCCTGGGACTCATCCTTTGGGGCAGTGGGCTCCCCGACCTCTGGCCCAAGGCAGGCTGAGAAATGCCATCCAAGGGTAAAGTCTTGATATTAAAGAATACAAGAACCTGCTTGGTGCTCTACCCCACTGTGGCCATGCTGGTACCTAACATGCATGACGATGTCTTCTTTACTTATCTCTCTTATTTTCTCAAGCAGAGAAGTTTCACTCTGTAGCCACAACAGCTAGTAATGTGCTGATTTTTACCTGAAGCCACCAACTGTCAGAAGCTGAACCAAGGTCCTCAGTGCAGTAATTGTGTACTGCTGCAGTTATTGAGAGCCCAAAAGGTCTTCAGTTATCAGGTAATGAGTGCTAGCAGGACTGGGTTCTTCCTTTTAAGGCAGTGAATTTCCTTCTGGCCTAGGGTGTGTAGAAATATTGTCTGGGAGCAAGGGGCTCAAACAGGGGCCTGTCAACTCTGACCAGTGCCCTATTTTGCTGCAGCTGAGCTGGTATGTAAGATGTAAGACAATGTCCTCCTCACTCTTCCCTCTCATCTTCTCAGCAGAAGGAAAGGGTCTCTTTTGGAGCCAGAAGCTGTGCAGCCTGGGGCTAGGGGAAGGGTGTTGATAGCTCTCCATTAGCAAGCCCAGCTGGTGTCTCAGTAGGTCATATTCCCTTCCATTTCACTGTCTCTGGGCCTGGTTTAGCACTAGGATTCACTTAAGAGTTTCAGTCCTTATGGTCTAGACTGCCTTTCAAGTTTACAAGTTTACTTAGAGACCCAGAGCACTGTAGCCCTCAGTGGAAGTGTTTGCAGAAACTCAGGTTATGACAACTAGGATCGGTGATTCCTCCCTGGCTAGGGCTGGTTCAAATGCTCCCTCTGTGGGTAGGCATCAGCTGAGTTTCACCTGGTTTTTCTTTCTTCTCTAATAGGCCAGCACTGAGATTAATGCCTCACAGTTTCTGTGCTCTTCCTCTCCCAGTTTCCAGAGATGTTCTCGGCACCATGCTGCCATTGCATGGGGGTGGGAGTAGTGAGGGAGGTTTGGCATCAGTGATTCAAGACTTTTTCTACCTCTTCAGTTTCTCTTTCAGTGATAGGAATTTAACACCAGGAACTACAAGGGTTCACCTGACTTTTGGTTTTTATAAAGATGGTTTGTGTGTGTGTGTGTATGTGTGTGTGTGTGTAGATAGTTCTTAAATTGGTGTGCATGTTTGATGATTGCTGGAGTCTTCTATTCTGCCATCTTCCCCTACCTCTCCCTGTAATATTTCTTATATGCCAGGCCTGGTAGCAAATAATTTTCTCAGTTTTTGTATATCTGAAAATGTATTTATTTTTTTCTTCATTTTTGAAAGTTTTGCTGGATATAAGATTTTTGATTTACAGGGGTATTTTTTTTGTTTAGTTTTGTCTTACTTTCACCATTTTGAATATGTTATTTTACTGCCTTCAGATCTTGGTTTCTGACATCAAGACAGCTGTTAATCTTATTTTGGTTCATTTGCATGTGGCAAGTGTTTATTTTCTTGCTGCTTTCAAGATGTTCTCTTAATTGCTGGTTTTAAGTATTCTTAGTATAATGTTTTTGGGTATAGAGCTCTTTACCTTTGTCTTACATGGAGCTTGCTTTTTTTTTTTTTTTTTGAATGTGTAGATTAATTTTTTAGAGTCAAATTTGGGAAGTTTTCAGCCATTTTCTTTTCAAATACTTTTTCTAACACTTTCTTTCTGTTCTCTCTGGGATTCTCACTACACATATGTTGTTGCAGTTAATGGTGTCCCACATTTCTATGAGACTCTTTATTTTCTTAATTTTCTTTATTTATATTCTTCAGAATGCATAACCTAGTAATCTATCTTTAAAATTCTTGATTATTTCTTCTGCAAGTTAAATTCTTATTTTGGCCTCCTGTGGTAAATTTTTTATTTTGCTTACCATGCTTTTCAACTCAAGGTTTTTTATTTGGTTCATTTTAATATTGTCTCTTTATTGATGTATTTTTTGATGAGACATTATTATCATACCTTCACTTAATTATTTAAGCATTAGTTTTTGGTTATTTGAACATATGTATAGAACCTACTTTTAAGGTTTTGTTTACTAAATTCACCATCTAGGCCCCTTCAAGGGCATGTTCTATTGCCTGCCTTTTTTTTCTTGTGAATGGGTTTCACTTTCCTGTTTCTTTGTATGTGTGGGTCTTCTCATTGAAAATTAAATGAATTAATAATATATTGTAGCAATCCTGGATACCTATTCTCCTCCCCTGAATTTTTTGTTTTATTGTTGGCTTGTTGCTTGTTTGTTTGGTCATTTATTTATTTGTTCTAGATATAACTAAAGTAATTCTGTACAGTATTTCTCTTCCACACTGTGCAGCTTTTTTGTTCTGGTTCAGACATTTTACTTTTTGTTTAATATTTTGCATTTTACTTTTTGTTTAACAGTTTAGCCTTCCTAACTATGGGTTGCCCTTGGATTACCATAAGCCACTTATTGACAAAAGTTTTGTTTAACCCAATTGGCCAATGATATTTTTACCCTTTACCACTGGATGTCTGTTTGGTTTGGATGATGCTATTACTTTTTCAAAAATTAAGGTATTTTTGTTCTACATTCAGCCAGGAACCAGTAGCATACACACTCCTTCTCTCATCACTTCTGAGAGAATAAAACCTTGGTAATGTGCAGTCTTTTAGACTGCCAGGAATTACAGTGTTATTATGCTTAAGACTGACTTTTTCGGATTTGCATCTTGGTCTGAGTAGTTTATTCTTCAGTCAGTTTTTGCTCAGAGGTTGTGTTTAAGTCTCTTTTGCTAGTGAGGTTTCAGCCTTTTGTTGATAGGTAGTGTGGCTTTGGTATGCTTTCAAGTCTGCCCCATATTTTTCTCTGATTTCTTCTGAGTAGTACAGTCCAGAATATATGTACAGCTTTTGCAAAACCCAAAATTGACTGTCTTCCCAGAAGGACTCATTTCACCTGTCTTTATTGTCTGATTCTTCCTATTAAGTTTCTGAATGTTCTGACATTTTCCTTGTATTAGAGCTACTGGCCTGCTTTTATTTCTTCTACATCAAAATCTCCATTATTTTGATAACACTTTTACCATGGAATTCTCTATTCAATTCAAACTTAAGTCATTTCTTTTTTTTTATTATACTTTAAGTTTTAGGATACATGTGCGCAACGTTCAGGTTAGTTACATATGTATACATGTGCCATGTTGGTGTGCTGCCCCCATTAACTCGTCATTTAGCATTAGGTATATCTCCTAATGCTATCCCTCCCCCCTCCCCCCACCCCACAACAAGCCCCGGTGTGTGATGTCCCCCTTCCTGTGTCCATGTGTTCTCATTGTTCAATTCCCACCTATGAGTGACAACATGCGGTGTTTGGTTTTTTGTCCTTGCGATAGTTTGCTGAGAATGATGGTTTCCAGCTTCATCCATGTCCCTACAAAGGACATGAACTCATCATTTTTTATGGCTGCATAGTATTCAATGGTGTATATATGCCACATTTTCTTAATCCAGTCTATCATTGTTGGACAATTGGGTTGGTTCCAAGTCTTTGCTATTGTGAATAGTGCTGCAATAAACATACGTGTGCATGTGTCTTTATAGCAGCATGATTTATAATCCTTTGGGTGTGTACCCAGTAATGGGATGGCTGGGTCAAATGGTATTTCTAGTTCTATATCCCTGAGGAATCGCCACACTGTCTTCCACAATGGTTGAACTGTCAGTCAGAACTTGAGAGCTCTCCATACTAATGAACTGCCTTTCCCCATGGAAAAAAACCTCTGAGGTACTGCATAGGAGCTCATAGTAGTAACCCAATGTTCCCAGAGTATCACCCTCATTCTATGACTGGTCTCTTGGAGGATATAGCAAACCCTGGTCTTCTTGGCTTGCTCCTCCTGGTTTAGAACTCTTATTCTATCAGTGACCTGGGGCATAGATAATCAGAGCCACAGTAATCTTGGCCAGCAACACCAAATTTAGAACTTCCGCCTTATGAAAGTTTCGGATAAAGGAGATCCAGCTTTCTGTGGGAGTACATGGAATAGAGCTTTTGCAACGCAGGACTGGAAAGAAAGATGAGGAATGCCATTTGTCTGCCTCTCCCAGTATGAAACTGTAATCCAAATAAGAAGCTGGCACAAATAAGGGCCAGTCATGTTGGAAGGGCACTTTTTTGGTTCCATATGAAATTTAAAGTAGTTTTTTTTTTCTAATTCTGTGAAAAAAGTCAGTGGTAGGTTAATGGGGATAGCATTGATTCTATAAATTACTTTGGGAAATATGGCCACTTTCACAATATTAATTCTTCCTATTCATGAGCATGGAATATGTTTCCATTTGTTTGTGTCCTCTCTTATTTTCTTGAGTGGTGGTTTTAGTTCTCCTAAGAGGTCATTTACATCCTTTGTAAGTTGTATTTTATTCTCTTTGTAGCAATTGTGAATGGGAGTTCACTCATGGTTTGGCTCTCTGTTTAACTATTATTGGTGTATAGGAATGCTTTTGATATTTGCACATCAATTTTGTGTCCTAAGACTTTGCCAAAGTTGCTTATCAGCAAAGGAGATTTTGAGTTGAGATCATGGGGTTTTCTAAATATACAGTCATGACATCTGCAAACAGCGACAATTTTACTTCCTCTCTTCCTATTTGAATACGCTTCCTTTCTTTCTCTTGCCTGATTTCCCTGGACGGAATTTCCAATACTATGTTGAATAGGAGAGGTGAGAGAGAGCATCTTTGTCTTGTGCCAGTTTTCAAAGGGAATGCTTCCAGCTTTTGCCCATTCAGTATGATATTGGCTGTGGATTTGTCATAAATAGCTCTTATTATTTTGAGATACACTCCATCGATACCTAGTTTATTGAGAGTTTTTAGCATGAGGTGTGTTAAATATTATTGAAGGCCTTTTCTGCATCTGTTGAGATAGTCATGGGGTTTGTTTCATTGGCTCTGTTTATGTGATGGATTACATTTCTTGATTTGTGTATGTTGAACCAGCCTTGCACCCCAGGGATGAAGCCGACTTGACGGTGGTGGATAAGCTTTTTGATGTGCTGCTAGATTTGGTTTCCCAGTATTTTATGGAGGATTTTTGCATCGATGTCCATCAGGGATATTGGCCTAACATTTTCTTTTTTTTGTTGTGTCTCTGGCAGGTTTTGGTATCAGGATGATGCTAGCCTCATCAAATGAGTTAGAGAAGAGTCCCCTTTTCTTCTATTGTTTGGAATAGTTTCAGAAGGAATGGTACCAACTCCTCTTTATACCTCTGGTAGAATTCAGCTGTGAATCCAACTGGTCCTGGGCTTTTTTCAGTTGATGGGCTATTAATTGCTACCTCAATTTCAGAACTTGCTATTAGTCTATTCAGGACTCAACTTTTTTCTGGTTTAGTCTTCAGAGGCTGTATGTTTCCAGCAATTTATAAATTTCTTCTAGATTTTCTAGTTTATTTGTGTAGAGGTGTTTATAGTATTCTCTGATGGTAGTTTGTATTTCTGTGGGATCAGTGGTGATATCCCCTTTATCATTTTTTATTGTGTCTATTTGATTCTTCTCTTTTTTCTTATGTATTAGTCTGGCTAGCTTTCTATCTGTTGTGTTAATCTTTCCAAAATCCATCTCCTGGATTCATTGATTTTTTGGAGGGTTTTTCATGTCTCTATCTCCTTCAGTTCTGCTCCAATCTTAGTTATTTCTTGCCTTCTGCTAGCTTTTGAATTTGTTTGCTCTTGCTTCTCTAGTTCTTTTAATTGTGATGTTAGGTTGTTGATTTTAAATCTTTGTTGCTTTTTCCTGTGGGCATTTAGTGCTATAAATTTCCCTCTAAACACTGCTTTAGCTGTGCCCCAGAAATTCTGGTACATTGTGTTTTTGTTCTCATTGGTTTCAAAGAACATCTTTATTTCTTCCTTAATTTAGTTATTTACCCAGTAGTCATTCACGAGCAGGTTGTTCAGTTTCCACGTAGTTGTGCGGTTTTGAGTGAGATTCTTAATCCTGAGTTCTAATTTGATTGAACTGTGGTCTGAGAAACTGTTTGTTATAATTTCCATTCTTTTGCATTTGCTGAGGAGTGTTTTACTTTCAATTATGTGGTCAATTTTAGATTAATTGTGATGTGGTGCTGAGAAGAATGTATATTCTGTTGATTTGGGGTGGAGAGTTTTGTAGATGTCTGTTAGGTCTGCTTGGTCCAGAGCTGAGTTCAAGTCTGGAATATCCTTGTTAATTTTCTGTCTTGTTGATCTGTCTAATATTGACAGTGGGGTGTTAAAATCTCCCACTATTATTGTGTGGAAGTCTGTCTCTTTGTAGGTCTCTAAGAACTTGCTTTATAAATCTGGGTGCTCCTGGATTGAGTGCATATATATTAAGGATAGTTAGCTCTTCTTGTTGCATTGATCCCTTTACCATTATGTAATGCTTTCCTTTGTCTTTTTTATCTTTGTTGGTTTAAAATCTGTTTTATCAGAGACTAAGATTACAATCCTGCCTTTTTTTTTTTTTTGCTTTGCATTTGCTTGGTAGATCTTCCTCCATCCCTGTATTTTGAGCCTATGTGTGTCTTTGCATGTGAGATGGGTCTTCTGAATACAGCACACCGATGGGTCTTGAGGTCTTGACTCTTTATCCAATTTGCCAGTCTATATCATTTAATTGGGGCATTTAGCCTGTTTACATTTAAGGTTAATATTATTATGTGTGAATTTGATCCTGTCATTATGATGCTAGCTGATTATTTTGCCCGTTAGTTGATGCAGTTTCTTCATAGTGTCAATGGTCTTTACAATTTGGTATGTTTTTTCAGTGGCTGATACTGGTCTTTCCTTTCTATATTTAGTGCTTTCTTCAGGAGCTCTTGTAAGGCAGGCTTGGTGGTGACAAAATCTCTCAGCATTTGCTTGTCTGTAAAGGATCTAATTTCTCCTTCACTTATAAAGCTTAGTTTAGCTGGATATGAAATTCTGGGTTGAAAATTATTTTCTTTCAGAATGTTGAATATTGGTCCCCACTCTCTTCTGCTTTGAAGGTTTTCTGACAAGAGATCTGCTGTTAGTCCAATGGGCTTCCTGTTGTGGGTAATGAGACCTTTCTATCTGGCTGCCCTTAACATTTTTTCCTTCATTCCAACCTTGGTGAATCTGATGATTACGTGTCTTGGGGTTGCTCTTCTCGAGGAGTATCTTTGTAGTGTTTGTAGTGTTATCTCTATTTCCTGAATTTGAATGTTGGCCTGTCTTGGTAGGTTGGGAAAGTTCTCCTGGATAATATCCTGGAGTTGTTCCAACTTTGTTCAGTCGACCATTCTCCCCGTCACTTTCAGGTACACCAATTAAATATAGATTTGGTCTTTTCACAAAGTTCCGTATTTCTTGGAGGCTTTGTTCTTTCCTTTTTATTCTTTTTTTTTCTAATCTTGTCTTCATGCTTTATTTCATTAAGTTCATCTTTAATCTCTGATATCCTTTCTTCCACTTGATCGATTCGGCTATTGATACTTGTGTATCCTTCATGAAGTTCTCATGCTGTGTTTTTCAGCTCCATCAGGTCCTTTAGGTTCTTCTCTAAACAGGATCTTCTAGTTAGCAATTCCTCTAACCTTTTTTCAAGGTTCTTACCTTCCTTGCATTGGGTTAGAACATGCTCCATTAGCTTGGAGGAGTTTGTTATTACCCACCTTCTGAAGCTTACTTCTGTCAATTCATCAAACTCGTTTTCTGTTTAGTTTTGTTCTCTTGCTGGTGAGGAGTTGTGATCCTTTGGAGGAGAAGAGGCATTCTGTTTTTTGGATTTTTTAGCCTTTTGCACTGTTTTTTTCACATCTTCTTGGATTTAGCTACCTTTGGTCTTTGATGCTGGTGACCTTCAAATAGGGTTTTTATGTGGTCGTCCTCTTTGTTGATGTTGATGCTATTCATTTCTGTTTTTTAGTTTTCCTGCCTCTCTGCTGCAGATCTGCTGGAGTTTGTAGGAGATCCACTCCAGACCCTGTTTGCCTGGGTGTCACGAGAGGAGGCTGCAGAACAGAAAAGATTGCTGCCTGTTCCTTCCTCTGGAAGCTTCGTCCCAGAGGGGCACCTGCCAGATGCCAGCCAGAGCTCTCCTGTATGAAGTGTCTGTCAACCCCTGCTGGGAGGTGTCTCCCAGTCAGGAGGCATGGGGGTCAGGGACCCACTTGAGGAGGCAGTCTGTCCCCTAGCAGAGCTCGAGTGCTGTGCTGGGAGATATTCTGGTCTCTTCAGAGCCGGCAGGCAGGAACATTTAAGTCTGCTGAAGCTGCACCCACAGCCGCCCCTTCCCCCAGGTGCTCTGTTCTAGGGAGATGGGAGTTTTATCTGTAAGATCCTGATTGAGGCTGCTGCCTTTCTTTCAGAGATGCCCTTCCTTGAGAGGAGAAATCTAGAGAGGCAGTCTGGCTACAGAGGCTTTGCTGAGCTGTGATGGGCTCCACCCCATTCGAAATTCCTGGTGGCTTTGTTTACACTGTGAGGGGAAAAATGCCTACTCAAGTCTCAGTAATGGCAGACACCCCTCCCTCCACCAAGCTCGAGAGTCCCAGGTGGACTTCAGACTGCTGTGCTGGCAGCGAAAATTTCAAGCCAGTGGATATCAGATTGCTGGGCTCCATATGGGTGGGATCCACTGAGCTAGACCTCTTGGCTCCCTGACTTCAGCCCCCTTTCCAGCGGAATGAACGCTTCTATCTTGCTGGCATTTCATGTGCTACTGGGGTGTAAAAAAACTCCTGCAGCTAGCTTGGTGTCTGCCCAAAAGGCCGCCCAGTTTTGTGCTTGAAACCCAGGGCCTTGGTGGTGTAGGCACCCAAGGAAATCTCCTGGTCTGCGGATTTTGAAGACCATGGGAAATGCGTAGTATTTGATCTGGAATGCACCAATCCTCACGGCACACTCCTTCATGGCTTTTCTTGGCTAGGGGAGGGAGTCTCCCGACCCCTTGAACTTCCCGGGTGATGTGGTGCCCCACCCTGATTTTGCTCACCCTCCAAGAGGGCTGCACTCACTGTCTAACCAATCCCAATGAGACAAGCCATGTACCTCAGTTAGAAATGCAGAAATCAACTGCCTTCTGCCTTGACCTTGCTGGGAGCTGCAGACTGGAGCTGTTCCTATTCAGCCATCTTGCCAGCCACCTGAAGTCTTACTTTTAAAACACTTATATAATTTTTATTAATGAATATAAACTTAAATTTTAAAACTTAAGATCCAATGTGATAATGATAGAGTAAAACAACTTTATACACTACTAACTGGAGTGCAAATTGATTCAACTTTTTTAGAAAGTAATTTGGTAATATGTGGTAAAATTACTCAGAAATTCCACTTTTACAATTTATCCTGAGGAAATTATCAGTGTTGTGCACAAAGATTTATATAAAAGATAATCCTTACAAAATCATTTATAATTGGTAACTAATTTGAAACAACATAAAAGTACCAGATTAAGGGATTTAAAAAATAACATGATAAAATCATCTGTTAGAACACCATGTTGTCATTATATATTATATTTTATAATATTTTATGATAAACAAAATTCTCATGATTAAACATTGAGTGAAAAATCAGGGTAAAATAATACAAATATAAAAGGATTCCAGTTATGTCTCTTACCCTCTTATGTGCATACACTCACACAATTGACTAGAATGATCTAAAATAAAATGTTAATTGTACTTCATATAATAGGATTAGTGGTAATTTTTATTTCCCTTTTTATGCTTTGCTGTGTGCTTAAAATTTTCTCCAAATAATAAAGATCACCTTTAACCCAAAACAATGTTTATTTCTTATGGCATGAATTTTACCAACTGCATGGCTGTTTTTTTTTTTTTTTTTTTTTTTTTTTTTTTTTGAGATGGAGTCTCACCCTGTCACCCAGGCTGGAGTGCAATGGCGGGATCTTGGCTCACTGCAACCTCCACCTCCTGGGTTCAAGCAATTCTCCTGCCTCAGCCTCCCAAGTAGCTGTGATTACAGGTGTGTGCCTCCGTGCTCAGCTAATTTTTGTATTTTTAGTAGAGAAAGGGTTTCACCATGTTGGCCAGGCTGGTCTCAAACTCCTGACCTTGTGATCCACCTGCCTCGGCCTCCCAAAGTGATGGGATTATAGGCGTGAGCCACCACACCTGGCCCATGGCTATTACTTTTTCTGAATATTGACATTTTATATTATTTAAAATGACAATATTTATGTAACATAGTATTATGCATTCAAAAGCACATATTTTAGATAAATATATATATTTAATTTTTAATTGAAAATAATTGTACATATTCATGGGGTACATAGTGGTGTTTCAATGCATATAATATATAGTGATCAGATCAAGGTAATTAGCATATTCATCATCTCAAACATGTATTATTATTATTATTGTTTTTGAGACAGTGTCTTGCTCTGTTACCCAGGCTGTAGTGCAGTTGTGCTATCTTGGCTCACTGGAATCTCTGCCTCCCAGGTTCAAGCAATTATCTAGCCTCAGCCTCCCGAGTAGCTGGGACTAGAGGTACTCACCACCACGCCTGACTAATTTTTGCATTTTTAGTAGAAGCGGGGTTTCCCATGTTGGCCAGGCTGGTCTTGAACTCCTGACCTCAAATGATCCAACCACCTCAGGCCCCCAAAGTGCTGGGATTACAGAAGTGAGCCAAAGTGCCCAGCCTCAAACGTATTATTTTTTATGCTGGGAATGTTCAATATCCTCCTTCTATCTATTTAAAACTATGTAATACATTGTTGTTAACTATAGTCATCCTACCATTTTGCCATTGAAAGTAATGGCAGACTGGAAACCATCATTCTCAGCAAACTATCAGAATAACAGAAAACCAAACACTGCATGTTCTCACTCATAAATGGGAGTTGAACAATGGGAACACATGGACACAGGGAGGGGAACATCACATACCGGGGCCTGTTGGGGGATGGGAGGCTAGGGGAGGGATAGCATTGGGAGAAATACCTAATGTAGATGACGACTTGATGGGTGCAACAAACCACCATGGCACATGTATACCTATGTAACTAACCTGCACATTCTGCACATGTATCCCAGAACTTAAAGTATAATTTTAAAAAAAGAAAGTAATGGCAGAAACCACAATCACTTTTGCACCAACCTAATATTTCTTCTATCTAGCTGTAATTATGTATTCTTTAACAAATTTCTCCTTATCTCCTCCTTTCCCCTACCTTTCCCAGCCTTTAGTGTCCTCTGTTCTACTTTTTACTTAAATGAGATTAACTTTGTTTTTTTTTAATAGAGTGAACTTGGTATAAAATACATAGCTCTGTACAAATGCAAGTTCATGAGGTTGTCACTTATTGAAAACAAATGATATCTGTTTTAAATACAATCCTTGATTTTCTCAAATCATGTTGATTCCATGTGTCTTGTCAAAAGGTATTTTAGAACCACAAAAACAGAAGTTTGTAAGTTATGCCAATCTTGGTGTTATCTCTATCTCTTCGACTGATTATCTGATTTCCTGGGCAATGCAACCCTGGCACATCATTGATCACTCATGAAATAAGAGAGATTTTTGAATTGGCAGAGATATTTACCTATAATCTCAGAAGTCCCCTGAAGCTGAAATAATTTCTGAAGCTTGAAGCATGACGAATTACTTTTATTGCATATATAACATGGAGAGAGTGGAAAATAACTTATATGAAATGATGTCACAGAACACTGTTGAAAGGTCTATTGTTTTGTTTACTATGGTAGTCATCCTGTATTAACATCATAGGGCAGAACTAATAATGTATCACAAATTGGGTGGCATAAAAGAGAAGAAATATATTTTCTCACAGTTTTGCAGGCTAGAAGTCTGAAATCAAGATGTCATGAAGGTTGGTTCCTTCTGAAGGCTCTGAGGGAGAATCTATTCCATATCTTCCACCTAGCTCCTGAAGACAGTCAGCAAGCCCTGGCACTTCTTGCCTTGTAGCTGCAACACTCCATTATACCTTCATCTTCACAAGGCGTTCTCTCTGTATATGTCTATCTTCACATGGTCATTTTCTTATCAGTACACCAATCATATTGAATTAAGAGTCCCTTTACCCAATATGACCATATTTTAACTAATTATATTTACAACACATTCTGCAGTACTGTGGGTTAGGCCTTCAACATATCATTTTTGAGGGACACAATTCAACCCATAACAGTGACTTAATCAAAAACAGAGAATTTTAGAAAAAGAGATATTGGGGTTTAAGTTTTGACTCCACTTTGGGTCCTGGATGAGTCATTTATTTTCTCAGAGTTCATTTCCTTATATGTAAAATGGAGATAATATTTACTTCATTTTGTTTTGTGAAGATCAATGCTGATCTATGTAGAAATTGTGGCACATAGTAGAGCATCCAAACCATGACATTTTTTATTAATATTAGTGCAAGATTTATTTGTCAGATAACTGACAGGTCAGGTTATATTTAGTAGAATTAATGCCATCCATATAATTTTTGAATCGTTTCCTATGTTGAGTCTAATGCTTGCTGACATAATTTCCATTCTGATGCTTCCACATTATTATATTGTAAACTGTACCTTATCACATCACAGATGAAAATAATTTGTGTTTTGACATCACAGACTCAGTAATTTTTAAAAATTCAGACACTCCAAAGATTATCCTCAAATAATGGCTGCAAATTTGCAGTTGAATCTGATTTAGCAGGAATGGATACAAAATTTTATTTTCAGATCGCTTCCTATTAGTTAGAACTTTGACAAGCATCACAAGCAAAAGTGCATTTTCTAATATAATGTATATCTTTCCCCATAAATTAACTCAAAGTTTGCTTAGTTTAGAAAAGAACATGACTAATTTAAGTTTATTGCTGACAATGGCCATTACCATGGAGTGTGTGTGTGTGTGTGTGTGTGTGTGTGTGTGTGTGTTTGTGTGTGGTGGAGGTGGGAGGAAGCTGTTATTGAAAATGTGTAGGAAATGCAGATTTGAAGAAATGTACTAGATAGGAAAACATATGCAGCCTGTGCCGAGAGCATAAAGGCCACTGTCAGCTTTTCAAAAGCCCAGCGTTTTACAATTTTCAGAGATACACAGTGCAGATGTGTCAGGCAGAATTTGGCCCACAGTGTTTAGATTAGCAGGAAATCAATTAATCCATCCTAATATCCAAAGGGCTATTGCTGGATCTCGGAGGTCATAAATTTACACCACTCTTTCATCATTCTGGGCCCCAGATGGCCTTAAATGGACATAAGGCATAATGAGATCTAGGAAGACATTATTATATTATTAGGTTAAAATTCACAGCCCCATCCCTTTTTCTAGACTGGCAGGGATAGTTTTCTTGAAGTGTTAATATCCACTGTTGATTGACTGTGCCGACTGCTTTAAGAGTTCACAGTATTTACTTTAGATATAAATAGTATTATTGGTAGCCAAGACTACAACAAAGACACCCATTCATATGGCAGTTCACCCAGCTATTGCAACAACGATAATGTCTACTTTTCTCAGTTTATATTTACAGCTTTAAAAGGTATTATTTTAGCAATGGAAAAACAGAATATAAACTTTATCATAACGGCCACTGAATGTTGTCAATGCATCCTTAAACCAGTAGTTTCATAAATGGCTCTTTTGAAACCAGAAAGTCATAAGAAAGCAAAATAGAATGAAGTTTGAAATGTGTGCTTGTTTAAAACTTCTTCCACCATCTCTGGCTGAGAATACAGGTGGCCAAGCACAAGAGTTCCTGCCAATTTCTAAAGTTACGCTTTTATCCACTAAACAAGCATCCTGATCCGGGTTACCAAACAGGGCACTCAACAGGAGCCCTGGGTGTGCATATTAAATATCACTTATGCCTCTGCCTGGGCTATCCACTTAAGGGAAGGCTAGATCTCAGTCTGTTTCACTCTTTTCCTGTACTCTAGTTTTAGGTAATGAACTTTCCCCAGAGACCTTTCTCAGAAAGGATCTTCATGTAGAACAGTTGATGCACATGCTTCTATTTTGAAAACCACATGTTCAGCACATTTTGCTTTTCTGAAATGGAATATGGTTTAAGTTTGTTTCAATCCAAAGAGGTTTGGCCGGAAGGACTTATGTCAAAGTGCAAAAGGTTTTATACACAGTAAAGTTTTTTTTTCTTTCTTCTTCTTCCTCTCATGGCCCAAAGAGGAGAAAAATGATAAAACATACTCTTTATGCCACAATAGCAGTTACTTTTGTACATATGAATAAATTGACAGGGCAGCTTGTTCAGAAAACACCATTCTTTTTATTTATCTTGGATTCAGCTGATTTATTATAAGAGTCACATCAAGAAAAGAAGTACTTGCCTCTAATATGAAACTTAATATGTATTCACAGTAAACAGTCTCAATGTCAGAATTTAATGGATCTTATTAAAAGCCCATTCATGAAGTAACTAGGCTATTGTGTCAGCATGGTACCCAGGAAGTTCTTATTTTAAACAGCTCCCTTAAATCAGTATTCATATTCAATGAAATATGCATCTTAATATGGAAAAATTGTGACCTATACAATGAATTACAAAATTAAGATTTGATAGTTTATTTCTAAATAATGTTAAATCATAGTCAATAATGTCACTGAAAAGGCGTTATCTCTGACATTACTTCATAAAGTCTGTGTTAATCCAATGCCAGTTTAAGGGTAAAAATATTAGAAGTTGACTTTTTAAGGAGAAGAGATAATTTTTAACTTTTTAGATTTAAGAATCCCAAGAATCCCCATTTATAAATATACATGTTGCATTTTATCTTCACAAGCCTTAAGTCTTCATATTTAAAACCACATTAAAGTGGTTTGTCTCCATAGCTTGTCTTAAATGAAATCAACAATGATTTATTGAGTTCTCAGCTGATTCAAAGCATAATGGTGGAAACTGTTGAAGGGATCCTAAAGTACCAGACGTCATTTTCATTTCATAGAGTTTATTTTCTAATCTATTTAAGATGACAAGACCAACATACATAAGAAATTAATAATAAATTAAAATTGATAACTTATATCCTTATGCAAAGACCCAGTTCTAGTCACAGTATTGCTGTTTACTTGTTTTTAATTGATCAAACATTTATTTTTTATTATTTTTATTCACATAAATTTATAGGTTACAAGTGTAATTTTCATGAATAGATTGCATAGTAAAGCCAATGTTTTTAGGGTATCCATCATCTGTATAATGTACATTGTACCTATTAAGTAATTTCTTATCTTCCACCCCTCCCACCCTCCACCTGTCTGAGTCTCCATTGTCTATCATTCAGCACTCCACCTACATGTGTGTACACTGTTTAGCTCTCACTTATAACTGAGAACATGCAGTGTTTGTCTTTCTGTGTTTTAATCATTTCACTTAAGATAATGGCCTCCAATTCTATCCATGTTGCCAGAACTGAGCTTAGGGAAATGTAATCCTTGCTCTGCCTCCTTCATAGGCTTCTTATGAAGAACGAATGAGATGACATGCTTAGTTAGTTACACAAATACACAGAAATGTAATGAGTTGGTGCCAAAGCAGAGAAGGGGTTAGGATTGGCTGAGTTTATGTTTTACTATCTACAATGGGTTTATATGTGAAAGTTGTATGTCACAAATCTTTTGGAAGACATCACTATAATCTACATATTATTATGTTTTTTTACTCTTTCGTGTTATTTTTTATTGCTGAAATAACCCATTTGAATTTGAAATGTTGTGTTGGTTTCATGTGAATGCCATTGAAGCAAAATGAAAAACCAAGTGAGTGTTGAATGGCTGTGATTATTATTACATTTTGGGAAATAGAGTCTGAAGAATAACTCACTGGTAGTTACAATGTAAAACACTGGACTACTTAAACAGATATAAATATTTAAGAGAAAAAAGTCACTTTAGTCAACTCTTTCTCCATGTATCACCCATTAACCTATATCAGAACACTAGAAAATACTTTGAGATAAAACTTGAAATTATAATAGTGTTTAGTTAAAACACTGCAAACATGCTGTGTATGGTTAGAATTGATCATATAGCTGCCTATTAAGCATTCTTAGTATAGTCAGGTAGGTGGAATTTAAAGCTGTCTGCATGGGAAGAAAGCCAAGTCCACTCCTGAGATGTGTGGGTGATGTGGCTGTTACATCTGGCACCTTAATGATTGCCAGGATTGATTGAACCAATTTAGTTAAGGAACTTGCTGCCTTCCTCCTGGTTATATTAACAGTATATCTTGATAACTTGAAATCACTTTCTTATAAAGTGTGGTATGATATCATCTATAAATCCTTCCATAGCAGTAGTCAAAACTGTCTATTTTTTATTTGTTTTTCATTTTTTCTATAGCCATTCTCAAATGGATAAAAACAACAAAAAGAAATTGTGCCCGCCTACACTAAAGGGAAGACAGTTTGGTAAAAGGAACGAAATTCAGATTAAACATTATAGATTGTAAGATCACATTAAGAACCCAAAGCACTGCATAACTGCTTTTCTCGAGTTACTGAAGTTATATTTTCTCCATATCAAAATGAAAACACGAAGGATGTTGCCCAGGTCATCAGAAACCTTCCATAAAACACATACACAATTTGAAAATAAAGTTTGAACTCTTCTTAAAAGTGTTCAGAGTACAGTAGGTATGAGCATCAAATCTGTGTTTTTTTTTTTTTAATTCATAAACCCTTGCTGCTGTATGATAAAGTTCAGGTGCCAGAGAATTTGAGTACTAACAACAACAGGCCACTAAGTTCCGGTATGTTTAGAGAAATTTTTCTTTTAAACTTTTCTGTGTTGGAGAGATGTGGAGACATCATCTACCTCCTTAAGATTCTTATAAAATCCATAGCCTTTTCTGCAGAAAAATAGACATGCATAAAAATAAACAAAAATTATATCTTTGAGGAGGTTCATTGAACTTTTGAAATCTCTTTTGAACTCAGATTTTAATAATAACCGGTTCTGTGAGTCATTTCCTGTACACACCACGGAGATTCCCCGACAGTCGAATCAAGAGGAATAAGTAAGCAGGATTTGCAGAGAACATTTGGCAGAGCAGACAAAACAAATTCTTTAAAATAGAGGCCAACAAACCTCACTTTGTATAGATTTAGCTATGGCTTAATATCATTGTGTAGTTTTTCAGGCTTTCATTGTCATTGTTAGGTTAATCACTTCAATTTAAACAATTAAAAATTTAACCGAGAGCTTACCTGTATCATGGAACAGTTATACTATTCAAACTTTATAAAATGTCAGGCCTTTTTGAGAAAAATTTGGCTTTAATTCTGAAATGTCATTTTTTATAAATATTTTATCTGCTTTTATTTTTAGAACTATTTATGTGCCTTTCCTCATGATTAATCTGAGAGAAAAATACATTCTCCTATCAAGGCCTATAACTTAGATAGTATTTTACAAAATAATTTCTAACAATGTCTTATGTAGTTATTTCCAAAGACAGGGAATCTTTTTCGGTTTGGGTTATAGATCACAGTGAAAGTTGCCACACATCAGCCTGAAAGCAGGGATGAGAAGAAATGGAAATAGCATTTCCTGGTGAATGAATTGGCAAGGCTATATGCTGCCTTCCTGAGTCGGGAGAAAGACTGGAGAAAACTTGTATAAATGAATATGGATGTAATTAACTGATCTTTCTTCAAGATTGTTCAAGAAAGGCATTTTGATTGTATTGGTCCCACATGGCATCTATACAGAGTTTCCTGGACTCTTTTTCTTTTAATCCTATCAGCCCATCTTATCACATGTATCTATTTTGATCAAAATAACAGTTTAAATACTTCTTTCCTCAGAAGCACACATATAATGTAATTGAGAATGCTATTATTTTTTTCGGGTTGAGCTTATTACAAAGCATAGCCCCAGAATAACACATTGGACCCTTTAGCTTCATGTTATTCCTCAGATATATTTGTCTAAAAGTACTTAACAAAAATGTTAAATAGTACAGGCTTGAGGACAGAATTCTGTGACTGAACTCTAGAATTCTCTTCAATGGTTGAAATGCTATTCGTCATCTCCCAAATATTATTGTGCATAATCCACATTCACGTATCTATTTACCAAAAATCCCTACCAACTTTATGTGCTGTCTCATTTGCTCCTTTGAAGTATCAAATTGGCTTACTTCTATGATTAGTATATACTATCATTCCAATACTGGACTCTAAGTTTTTAACATTCTGACTCCCAAACTCTCTTCCTTTACCTCATATACAACCACTCATTTCCCTCGTTCTACATGTACTTTGTTCAATTTTAAGCCTTCTTTCCAGTTTATCCATGCTTATGCCCTCTGTAAAATTATTTAATCCCACAGGAACATCTAATCTTATTCTTCTCCCTATTTCTTAAATGTTTAATTTTTGTGGGTATGTACCAGGTGTATGTATTTATAGGGTATATGGAATATTTTGATACAGGTATACAATGTGTAATAATCACATCAAGGTAAATGAAGTATTCATCACCTCAAGTATTTATCCTACCTGTTTTTAACTGCATATCTTCTCTCAGTTTCTTTTTTTTTTCTTTGTTTTATTGTGCGAGGGATGGAAACAAATCCCCCAGGAAGCCCCCCAAAAGCCAGAATATTGGATTCATGATTGAACTCTTCATGCTCAAGGAGAAGCTGAAACTTGGGGGTTTTCTGCTCAATTCTAATGAACTGGAGGGAGGTACTATGTTAAGTGGTTTTGTGCTATTCTGAATTGTTTTCTTTGCTTAATGCCCAACTGGGCACCCTTCCCTGTTAGTTCTTAGATTCAAGCAAAATAGATGTATATTCTCTAGTCATTCCCCCAAAAAGTCTGAATGTTGGATGTAGGTTTCAGTCTTCTGTTTTCCTCCCCAGAGACAACTTGAGAGCTAAGAGTTTCCTCTTGATCATTCTACGTTAAGCAAAGAGGAAGAACTATGGCAAGTGAGGTCATGAATGAGCTGGCTTTAATACAGCTGGTTTTGTATTTGCCTGGGGGTTCAAAAGCATATTAACTGGTTTTTGGATTTTTACAAACGGACATTGTTTATGTATTGTTGTTGAATCATTACCTTCATGGCTAAAGAAATGTCTGGAGCTTTCGTCCACCATCTTGCTGATGTGCCCCTCCCAGACTCCCCTTTTCATTTTTATTCTCACTTTATTGATTACCTTCCCTAGATTCCATAATCTATTATAATTACCCAGACCCATAACTTCTTAGACTCTTTTTTCCCTCACATATAATTTCCTGGAAAAATAAAACCTTGTTTAAATTCCACTCTTTGCCTACTCCATAACTGTCCCTGAACAATTCAATAAGGTTGAAAGGAAATATAAAACCATGTTTATTCACCTCACTTTCAATGTATGTCAGAAAGTCTCAAGTGGGTCCAAGCAATTTAACTACATACCCCTAATTCAGGAATTGGCAAATATTTTCTGCAAAAGATCTAATAGTACATATTTTAGGGATTGTGGGCCATGGGGTCTCTTGCAAATATTCAAATTTGCTATTGTAAAGCAGCCAAGGTAGCACATAAAAATAAGCATGGCTATGTTCCAATAGAACTTTATTTACAAAAACAGGCAGTGGCCAGATTAAATTACAGGCCATACTGTATGAACTCCTGCCCAAGTAAATTCACTCTCCTGTTTCCAAAGATGACTATTTTACATTTCCTTTCCTTTCTTTAGTACTCTAGTCCTTCCTCTCTTTTTCCCCACTCTGAACTGATGATCTTGTTTTATATATCTGAGAAAATACAAGGCATCAGAAGAGTGCTGCTTCATCTTCCGACCATTGAGTATACCTGCATACTTGCATATGTTGATATTTTCTTTGTGCTCCTTCCTTATTATTAGGGATAAACTAGGTTTCTACCTAACTCCAACTCTTCCACCTGGGAAGCACTCAAGGATGTCACTACTTGTTTCATCCCTTCTGCGCCATGTTTTCCCCCTCACTAGAGGATCTTTCCCATGAGCAAACAAAATGCTGTATTTTCTCCCACATTAAAACAAAACAACAGAAAACAAAAAGCAAAACAATAAGAACCTTAAAGACTCCGTCATTTAACCCCTTTTATTCTTCAAACCCAATGTCTCTTTTTATCATAGCAAAACTCCTTACATAGTAGTTTATATTTATAATTTCCATTTATTTGCCTTCCCATCCTACTCCAATCAGGATTTTGTTCTCACCTCAAAACTGTACTTCATGTTACAGAAATTCATGTTACCAAGTAGTCGTGTCTCAGTCTTCATCTTCTTTGATTTCTGAGCAGCATTTGGCACAAAGGATCAATCGCTTCTCTTTAAAACACTTTGACTAAGGTTCTGAGACACCACACTTTTCTTGTTTTGCTCTTAACTCATCTGATAATTATTATTCAGTATCATTTGTTGACTCATCCTCACCTCCTTGACTAATAAATTTTGGAATATTTCAAGAATTATTCCTTAAAATTCTTTTCAGTTTGTACTGTCTTCTTAGATTATTATTTCTAGTTTCATGGCTTTTAAATTCTACATTTACATGACTGACTCCAAAATTTATATCTCCAACATCAACTCACCCTTGACCTTCAGACATATTTCTGACTGCTTAGTTAACATTTCTACCTGGATGACTTATAGGCATCTCAAATTTCACATGTTCAAAAATAAATAATTGCTCCCAACCCCACCTCCTAATAGCAACTCCCACACCTCTTTTAGTCATCCCTGCCTCAGTAACATAACCATTTGCCAGTTGATTAGATCCAAAACCTAATAGGCCTTCTTGACTTCTCTTGATCTCTCATATCCTGTATCAATTCTGTTAGTGAATTTTGTTGGCTCTATGTTGGCTCTACCTTAAAAATATAGCTAGAATGTGACCACATTGTATCACTTCTATTGCCACTATCCTGGTCCAAATCTCCATTATATCTTGCCTAAACTATTGCAATATTCTCTTAATTGGTATCCTTGAAAATTGTTTCATTTTCCTATTTAAAACTCTTCATAAAACTTAGAATAGTAAACACAATCAATACTATAACAGGTCCTATGCCGTCTGGACTATAGCTACTTTAGTGTACACTTCTTTAGAAATATTGTGATAAAGAAACCTTGCAAACTTTATGTCATCCAACACTTCCAATATTTATTTGATCACAAAAGTAACTTTTTCATCCCAAGAATAATTATAATTTTCTACAGAGCAACTGTTCTATATAAGACAGTTTGGAAAACAATGGGCTAGACATTTATGTTGTACTAAAATTAGAAATATGTTGTTTTATTATGGTAAGTTGGCTCTTATAATCTGATTTTCTACTCCTTGGCTACTACATAATTTAACAGAACATGTCTGAAGTAGCAGAATTTTATAACAACCCAAAAATGTGTTTTGTTATTTAAAATTTTTGCCATATATAGTGTTTCAATGGTTGATACACAACCTCAAGAAGCAGTATATCCCAGAGAAGCAGAACTGTAACGTTACCTGTTTCTAAGAATGTCGTTATGTCCATGAACGTGACTATAAAAAATGTATTGAATAGAATTTTTCTTAAACATAAATATTTTTCACTTCAAAAACTTGAAGTCACATCCAAAAGTTTTAATCATTCAGCAGCACTTACTAAATTCAATAAATTATGATAGCTCATAGCAGTAGGAAGTCAAAATGAGAGTTAGAGGAAAGTACCATGAGCAAATCAGGGAGCTAAGTTTTAAAACCAGTTTTTGCCAGTTTTGCACTCATTAACTGCAAACAGGAAGAAATTCTTTTCCCAAGGCCTCAGCTTTTGTATGTAGTAAAGAAGTTTAAGATGTAGAGTTGGCCTATATGTCACATTTTTCCTCTGATATTTAAGAATTCTAGCTAAAAATGTGAAATCCCTAATGTTTGTGGTTGGAAGACAGCATTTGCAAAAATTTAAGTTTTCTCAATGGAGCAACGATAACAACAAAAAAAATCCTTCTATAGTATGTCAAATTTCACTGGGTACTATATAGTATAATTTTTTTTTTACTTAGATGTTTGCTTTTCTTTTGTCACTTTATTTATATGTTACTCATTACATTCAGTCATAATAATGTAGTTAATCCTAGTCCAATGTTACCACATATCACAGGTGACAGTTATTAGTCTACCAATTATGCCTAGGCATGTGATCAATCAGGCTGAGACATCTGTTACTGCATTGATTGACTTGGATGATCAGGCTTGTGAAATAGGTGGCCCCATCCTACTTTGCTGCCCCCAAGTACATCTGTCTCAAAGCTTACACTGCTGGAAGGGGATGACCATCCCTATTAGAGGACAGTCATTCTCTGGTCAGGAGTAGAGAAATAGGGAATGTATATTTAGGGGTTCACTTTCCTGCTTCAACCTCACACAAGCTCTTGAACTCAATGACTCGTTACTATAATTTATTTTGCCTTCAGTCACCCACTCTCTCCATAGCCTGAGGTGAAGTTAGACAGTATGTGGGAGGAAGAGGAAAGGAGTGCTTTTCTGAAATATATAAAAATATATTTAGTGGGCCTAGCCTGTATCTTTTGATACTAGATTAGATTCACAGCTGAAAACCACATAAAAGCAAGCTGTTTTTGAAAAAAAACTCAGGTTTTATTCTACATATATGTTGTATTTACCTGTGACTATCAAGGTCAGGATTACATCTAAATTCACTCAGGGTTACATGTAAATTCCCAAATTGATTTGACTACTCATGTATCAAGTTAAGTAGAAATCAAGCCAATGGGTGAATATAGACATAGCTTGAATCAAACCATCAAATTATTGAAATAACTGATTAAACATACTGTTTTTTCAATGACTTGAGCAACTATATGACTTTATGGATAAAATTATCCTGGAATTTGAAATGATATATCATAAATTTACTAACCCTATGTGGCAGATTCATGTGGGAATTTTCAAGTAGCTTGGAACCAGGTAAGTAATTTTTGTGCCATAAAATTAAATCCACATGAGTAGTTAATTTTTATCAGCATTTCTAAAAATATGTAGCATAAATATGCTATATGTTGAATAAATGAAGAGTATAGAAAGATTCTTAGTGATCTGGAGGAATTTACTATTTTTAAAAAGATATATAGGAGGAAATCTTTATGATTTTGTATCAGGCAGTGATGCTTAGGCACAACATCAAAATCAGATGCTGTAAAAGGAAAACAATGATCAATTGAACTTAATTTAAAAAATATTTTGCACTCCAAAGACACTGTTAAGAGAACTACAGTTTAAATTACAGACCAGGGGAAAATATTAGCAAACATAATCATAAAAGACTTGTATCCACACGATATAAATAATATTCAAAACTCAAAATAATTAAAAGGAAACATTTTTAAGGGTGAGAAAGATGTGAGCAGACACTTCACCAAAAAAGAAAATAAAAATCATAAATGAGAACATAAAAATATGTCCTATAGCATTAGCCATTGGGAAAATGCAAATTGAAATCAAAATGAGATACTATCATATTTTAGCCTATTAGAATGGCTAAAATAAAACTAACTGATAATATCAAGTGCCGACATTCTTGACATTGATGAAGGGGATGCAAAATAGGACAAAAACTCTGGAAAGCAGTTTGGAAGCTTCCCATAATATTAAATATACACTTTCCATATGACATTGTTATTGCACTCCTAGATGTAAACCCAGGTAAATGGAAAACTGACATTCACATAAATATCTAAACAACAACGTTTATGTTGTCTCCATTTATAGTTTAAAAAATTTAAAAAAAAACCAAGAAAATATTTTCTATCACGAGAACAGAAAAAAAAATGTAGTTCTTCTATACATTGGAATACTACTCAACAATAGAAAAACAAACTATTGATGCACACAGCAGCATGGATTAATCTCAAATGCATTATACTAAGTGAAAATAGGCCCACTCAAAAGGCAATATAATATATTAGTTCATTAGTATAAATAGCAAAGGAAACAGTAGTTATGGAGAACGGATGAGTGCTTGCTAGGGTCTGGGAGAGAAGAGAGTGTTGACTATGAAGGGGAAGTATGAGATTATTTTTGTGATTGTAAAAGTATTCTATGTCTTGATTATGCTGGTGGTTATACAATAGTATCCATCTGTGAGATTACATGGAGCTATACAACAAAAGGCTGAATTTTACCTCATGTAATGTATATTTCGTTGTTAAAAATACATGAAAAACATAGGAATGCAGAATGTAGCTTCTCAGATGTGAATTATTAACAATTATAGAGATATTTTTGGCTTTGTGAGCCCTTGATAATGTAGTAGCTGTGAGAAGTAGATGGGAACCAATATCTGGATGCTAAGTCTTGCTTTGCTACTATGTATCCTTAGGGGACAAAATATATAATTTTTATGTTCCACAATTTTCCTCATATGTAGAGTGGGGATAATAATTAGTTCCACATTTACTTCACAGCGTTATTTTGAGGACCAAAGTTGTCAATTGATGTGAAAATTCTTAGAAAATAATAAAGATCAAAATTTTGTAAAGTGAGAAATTTTTACTGAAGTACTTGCATTTGATAGGTATGCAATAAAAGATTGTAGAATAAAGATGATATAACTCTAATGGGATCTTTCTCTTATTAAACTCTATTATTTTATTAGAGATCTGTCTCTTCCTGCTCTTTAGCATAGTCTTCAACGACTAAAAGAAAAATCACTGAAAGCTTACTCAGTGCCAAGAAATAAACCAAGCCTTGGAAATGTATACATGAATGAAGCACACACCGCACTATAAAAGAGCTCACAGTCTCAAGGAGCACACAGAAGAGAAAATAATAATAACGATGTTTGTGAAACATTTTTTCTCAGCCTGGAATGAATTTTTTAAATTCATGTGCATTCATTTAAGCATCCTGACAATCTTTACTATTTTCCTCACCATTTTATATATATGGAAATTTAGATTGATGTTACTTGCTAAAGATTTAAGTTAGAAATATTGGAGCCAGAAGTCAAACCCAAATATTCTGCCTCATTAGACAATGTTCTTCACTGCCATATCCTTCATCATGTACTACCTCCACACTTTCCACCAAGTTTTTTTTCTAAAGACCTTGTCTGGGCTGGAGTTGTTAAAGACCCCATGGAAGAAATAAAACTTGAGCTGAATTGAGAACCAGACTGGAATTGGCTAGATAGAGATAAGGGGAAAATGTAGTTCAAGTGCCAATAAAGCCTAAATTTGGCAATTTCTGGATGTGATTGCGTTTAAAATCTATACTGGCTAGTTCTCTTCTGAAGGAAGAAAAAATGTGAAAGTGTATGGGCAAGTTTTAAGAGGAAAAGAGAGGGAGAAGAGGCAGGACCTGTCCAAACACCCATGGGAAGAGACTGTGATGCAAAGAAAAAAAGAAGCAAAAGTCTGGCTGAAATCAACCCCAAAGGAGCTTAAAGCTCAGTGGAAAGGGTAAGTAGGAGTAGGTCTGCGCTCCTCACAACTCTGACAATCTGCTGATCACTCAAGTATTGGGGAGACCTATGCCCCTGCATCTCAGAGCAACAATATTGGTGGTGATTAGAGATCTTCATGGAAACAGAGAACTAGGTGGTCAGCTCGTGTGGCCATGCCACCTCCCTCCTTAAACCCAGGCTGAGACAGCAGATGCCCTACTGGTTATGCACTCATTGTGCCACTGCCTTTCCCAGGAATCTTTTGCCTTTGAGCCACTGCACCACCACACCACCTGCAGCCATACCCCACAATCCACTCTGAGTTTGGCAAGGATAGAGGACTAGTGAGTCCCTAGTGAGTTGTAGGTCACCTGAATATTTAACCTTAATTGTGGAAACCCTTTAGGGATCGGGGAGCACGGCCTGCCAAGACCACCCATAGGACAAAGGAAATATGGATATGGCAGCAGCCGCTTAAGGGGGCACCATCAAAGCCTGGGAATAGACATGGAGAGGGAGTCAACTCCTTCCCCCATCCCACTCACCAGTGCACTGTTGCAGACACATCAGTGAGTCTTCCCATTGAGGCCTATTGAGTGTGCCCTGAATGAAACTGCTTTTCACACATTTCTGGTGGCCCTACCCCTACCAAAGGAAACCACACTCTTTGTGAGTGTGCTCTTCACACTTCTCAGGCAGCTCCACCCCCAATGAGAGTGGGCACACTAAAGAAGATCCTACATTCTGGATCTTACTCTTAATCATTATCTACTGGACTGCAACCTGAATTATACCACCAAAGAAAAATGCCTCACTACAACAAGCAGCATTTGATAAATAAATCACATGAATATATCTGCAGCCAAGGTAACCCTACAGAGCACTGGCCCTCTGAAAGCACCCAGAAATAAAGCCAATTGATCATACACAACATACACCACAGTCATAGCCTCAAGGGAAAAAATAAATAAAAATCCCCATTCAAACAATAGCAAATTCAAAGAAAGAAAGAAAGAAGCTTAGGTTCCCTCATATGAGAAGAAAACAGCACAATAACTCTGGTAATACAAAAAAGCCAGAACGTTTAATCAACACCAAAGGATTGCCTTAGCTTCCCCACAATGGATCCTAACCAGATTGAAATGTTTGAAGTGAGAAATATAGAAATCAGAATATTAATGACAAGGAAACTCAATGAGATCCAAGAAAAAGTAAAAATCCAATACAAAGAAGCAAGAAAGATGATCCAAGCTTTGAAACAAGATATAGCTATAATAAGAAAGAACCAGCTGGGTGTGGTGGCTCACACCTGTAATCCCAGCACTTTGGGAGGCTGAGGCGGGCAGATCACGAGGTCAGGAGTTCGAGATCAGCCTGACCAACATGATGAAATCCCGTCTCTACTAAAAATACAAAAATTAGCCGGGCGTGGTGACGTGCGCCTGTAATCCCAGCTACTCAGGAGGCTGAGGCAGGAGAATAGCTTGAACCAGAGAGGCAGAGGTTGCAGTGAGCAGGGATCACGCTACTGCACTCCAGCCTGGGCAACAGAGTGAGACTCTGTCTCAAAAAAAAAAAAAAAAGAAAGAAAGAACCAAACATAACTTCTAGAACTAAAAAAATTACTACAAGAATTTCAAAATACAGTTGAAAATCTTAACAACAGACTAGACCAAGCAGAAGAAAAAGTTAAAGAACTTGAATACTGGTCCTGTCAATGAACCCAGTTAGACAAAAAAAGTTTTTTTTAAAAATGAACAATATTTTTGAGAAATATGGGATTATGTAAAATGACCAAACCTGAGACTTATTGGCATTCCTGAAGAGAAGAAGAGAAAGTAAGCAAATTGGACAACATATATGAAGGTATAATTCAGAAAAATATACCCAATCTTGCTATAGATGTTAACAGGCAGATAAAAGACAAAAGAGAACTCATGTAAGTTTCTATACAAGATGACCATCCTCTAGGTACATAGTTGTCAGACTTTCCAATTTCAAGATGAAAGAAAAAATCTTAAATGCAGCTAGAGAACAAAGTCAAATTACTTATAAAGAGAATCCCATCAGACTAATAGCAGATATCTCAGTGCAAAGCTTACAAGCCAGAAGATATTGAGGGTCTATCTTTGGCATTCTTAAAGAAAAGACATGCCAGCCAAGAATTTCATATTCTACCAAATTGAGCTTCAAAAACTAAAGAGAAATAAAGTCTTTCTAAGATAAGCAAATGCTAAGAGGATTTGTCATGGCCAGGGCCTCCATACAGGAGCTGCTTAAGGGAATTCTCAATATAGACACAAAAGAATGATGTCTGTTACCACAAAAGCACATGTAAGTACATATCCCAAAGACCTAATAAAGCAATTACTGAATGAAGACTACAAAACTATTAGGTAAAAACATTATGAAGGAAATAAACTCACATATAAATACTAACTTTGAAAGTAAATGGCCTACATGCTTCAATGAAAAGACAGTGTGACAAATTGGATTTAAAGCAAAAGATGCAAACAAAGATAATTTCTTTTTTTTTTTTTTAATTTGGATGTCCTTTATATTTTTTTCTTGTCTCATTGCCCTAGCTAGGACTTTCAGTCCTACGTTGAATAACAATCATGAAAGTGGGCATTCTTCTCTCGTTCTGGACCTAAGGAGGAAAGACTTTCAGTTTTTCTCATTCACTATAATACTAGCTTGTGGGTCTGTCATTTATAGTTTTTATTATGTTGAGTTATGTTTCTTCTATACTCATTTTTTCAGTGTTTTTATCATGAAGGATGTTTAATTTTATCTAATGCTTTTTTAGCATCATTTGAAATGATTATATGGATTTTCTCACTTTATTCTATTGATATGATGTATCATGTTGATTGATTTGCATATGTTAAACCATCCTTGCATCTGAGGGATAAATTCTACTCAATCATGATAAATATTTTTTATGTATTATTTAATTCAGTTTGCTAGTATTTTGTTCAGAAGTTTTTCATCAATCATCAGAGATATTATCAGAGATATTGGTCTGTAGTTTTTATTTTGATGTGTTTTTATCTGGTTAGGGTATCAGGGTAATCCTGGATTCATAGAATGAGTTTGGAGGTATTTTCTCCTACTCCTTTTTTTTTCAGAATAGTTTGAGTAGTATGGTAATAATTATTCTTTAAATGTTTGGTAGAATTTAGTAGTGAAGTCTTTAGGCTTTTCTCTACTGGGAGAGTTTGTATTATGACTTTGATTTTGTTATTTGTTATTTGTTATTGATCTGTTCAGGTTTTTTGTTTCTTCCTGGTTCAATCTTGGTACATTGTATATGTCTAAGAATTTGCCAATGTCTTTCAGATTTTTCCATTTCTTAGCATGTAGTTGCTCAGAGTATTCATAAATGATCCTTCCAGTTTCTGTGGAATAAGCTTCAATGTCTCATTTTTCATTTCTGATTTCATTTACTTGTATCTTCTTTTTTCTTAGTTACTCTGGCTAATCGTTTGTCAAGTTTAACTTCAAAAAAGCTTTTTGTTTCATTGATATCTTGCATTGTTTTTTTAATTTCAATTTCATTTATTTCTGCTCTGGTCTTTATTATTTCTTTTCTCCCACTAATCTTGGGTCTCATTTGCTCTTGCTTTTCTAGTTATTCAAGATATATTATTAGGTTATTTATTTAATGTTTTTCTTCTTTTTTGAAGCGCTTATAGTTATCAGCTTCCCTCTTAGTACTGTTTTTTTTGTATTTCATAAGTTTTGCTATGCTGCACTTCCATTATCCTTTGCTTCAATAAATCGTACAGTTTCCTTGTTAATTTATTCATAGATCCACTGGTCATTCAGGAGCATCTTGTTTAACTTCCATGTCTTTGTGTAGTTTCCAAAATTCCTTTTGTTATTGATTTCTAGTTTTATTCTAACATGGTCAGGGAAGATATTTCAAACTTTTATTGTTTTAAGACTTTTTGTGACCTAACATATGGTCCATCTTTGATAATGTTCCATGTGCTGAGGGAAAGAATATGTACTCTTCAGCTGTTGGATGAAATGTTCTTTAAATATTGGATCTATTTGATCTATAATGCAGAATAAGTCTGATATTTCTTTGTTGACTTTCTGTCTGGGAGATCTATCCAATGCTGAAAGCATGGTATTGAAATCTTCAGCTATTATTGTGTTTGAGTCTGTCTCTCTCCTTAACTCTAATAATATTTGCTTTATCGATCTGGATGATCTACTGTTGTTGCATATGTTATATTTAAAATTGTTATATTCTCTTGCTGAAGTGACCCATTTATTATTATATAGTGACCTCCTCTGTCTCTTCTTATAGTTTTTTGTCTTGAAATTTACTTTGTTTCACATTAAGTATAGCTACTCCTGCTATTTTTGGTTTTCATTGTCATAGAATATCTTTTTTCTATATCTTTATTTTCTGTCTATGTGTGTCTGAATAGGTGAACTTAATAACTTTGGGTAAACATTAAAATTATGGCAGAAATAAAAATTTTTTGAAACAAATTAAAATTGGAGCACAGCATTCCAAAACCTCTGGGGTGTGGCAAAAGCACTGCTAGGAGGAAAGTCTATATTGTTAACCATAAATATCAAGAAGATAAAATGTTCTGAAATTGAAAACCTAACCTCACACATAAATAAACAATAAGAACAAGGAAAAACTAAGCCAAAAGCTAGAAGAAAAAAGTAATCAATAAAATAATAGCAGAGCTAAAATAAATTGTGACCATGAAATTTATTTGAAATCAATGAAATGAAAAGTTGTTTATTTGAAAGGATAAAAAAAAATAGACCACTAGCTAGATCAACAAAAATAAATAAAAAATCCAAGTATGAACAATTAGAAATGACAAAAATAACAGTACAACTAATCCCAAAGAAATACAAAAGTTTCTCAGAGGCTTCTGTGAACATCTCTATGCACACAAACTAGACAATCTAGAGGAAATGAATAAATTCCTGAAAACGTACAATCTCCCAAGAATGAACCAGAAAGAAATTAAAACCCTGAACAGATCAATAAGTAGTTACAGAATTGAATCAGTAATATAAAATGTACCAACCAAAAAAAAACCATTTGACAAAAGAATTCGTAGCCAAATTATACTTGATATGCCAAGAAAAGTTGGTATCAATCCTGTGAAACTATTCAAAAACTTAAGTAGAAGGGATATTTCCCTAATTTAATCTTTGAAACCAGCTTCATCCTGATACCAAATTCTGGCAAGGACACAACAACAACAAAAAGTAAACTACAGGCCAATATCTTTGATGAACCGATGCAAAAATTATCAATAATATTCTAGCAAACCAAATCTAGCAGCACATCAAAAGGTAAATCACCATGATCAAGTGGAATTTATTCCTAGGATCCTAGGATGTTAAAATGTTTTAACATATGCAAATCATTAAACATGATTCACTATATAAACAGACTTAAAAACAAAAATCTCACTATTATCTCAATAGATGTATTCAATATCAATAGATGCATTGAATATTAAAAGCATTCAATAAAAGCCAATAGAGCTTCATGATAAAAACCCTCTTTACAAATATAAGGAACAAACCTCAAAATAATAAGAGTCATTTATGACAAATCCACAGCCAAAATCAAACTGCATGGGCAAAAGATGGAACCATTCCCCCTATGAACTGGACCACGACAAAGATGTTCAATATCACCACTCTAGTTCAACGTAGTATTGGAATTCTTGGCCAGAACATCAGGGAAAATGAAGAAATAAATGACATACAAATAGAAAAAGAGGAAGTACAATTATCTTTTTGTTGATTATATGATTCTATATCTAGAAAACTCCAACGATTCTGCCAAATGAGTACTAAGCCTGATTAATGACTTCAGTAGTCTTAGCATACAAAATCAACATACAAAAGTCAGTAGAATTTCTATATATTGATAATATTTAATTTGAGAACCAAATCAAGAGTGCATTCCCATTTACTGTAGCCAAAAATAAAAATAAAATACTTACGAATACATCTTATCAAGCAGATGAAGTTATCTACAAAGATAATAACAAAACATTGCTAAACAAAATCATTGATGACGCAAAAGCATGAAAAAATAATCCATGCCCATGGATTGAATGTATCAACATTATTGAAATATTTATACTGTCCAAAGCAATCTACAGACTCAATGCAATTGCTATCAAATTCCCAGTGTTATTGTACAAATAATTAGGAAAAAACTATCCCAAAATTAACATGTACCCCCCTGCAAAAAGTAATTTGGATAGCAAAAGCCATCCAAAGCAAAAGAAAAAATCCAGAGGCATCACATTCCAAACACATACAACCAACTGATTTTTGACAAAATTGGCAGAAATAAACAGTGTGGAATGAAACCCTATTCAGTAAGCAGTGCTGGGAAAACTGGCTAACTATAAGGAGAAGAATAAAACTGGGTCCCTACCTCTCATTATATACAAAAATCAACTCAAGATGGCATAAAACTTAAATTTAAGACCTCAAACAATAAAAATACTAGAAGAAAATCAAGGACACCCTATTCTGGAAAATTCCTTAGGCAAAGAATTTATGAGTGAGCTCTCAAAAGCAAACACAACAAAAACAAAAATAAACACTTGGGATCCAATTAACCTAAAGAGCTTCTGAACAGCAAAAGAAACTATCTAAGGAGTAGATAGACAACCTACAAAATGGGAGAAAATATTTGCAAACTATGCTTCTGACAAAGGACTAATAACCAAAATCTATAGGATACTAAAATCAACGACAAAAAAAAACTAAAAAGTAAGCAAAGCACATGAACAGGCATTTCTTGAAAGAAGACATACTAGCAGCCAATAAAGATATGAAAAATACTCATCATCACTAATCATCAGAGAAATGCAAATCAAAACCACAATGAGATATCATCTCCCACCAATCAGAATGGCTATTGTTAATAAGAAAAAGAAAAAAAAAAGCAGATGTTGGCAAAGATGTGAAGAAAAGGGACTGCTTATACACTGTTGGTGGGAAAGTAAATTACTTCAGCCACTGTGGAAAGCAGTTGAGACATTTCTCAAATACCTAAAAATAGAACTACTATTCAACCCAGCAATCCCATTATTGGGTATATACCCAAAGGAAAATATATTTTTCTACTGAAAAGACACCTGTGCTTGTATTTTTATCACAACACTAAGCACCATTGATAATAGCAAAGACATGGATTCAACCCAGGTCTCATCAATGGTAAATGTACACCACGCAATACTATGTAGCCGTAAAAAGAACAGAATTAAGTTTTTTGCAGCAACATGGACAGAGCTAGGTGCAATATTCTTAAGTGAATTAATGCAGGCACAGAAAACCAAATACCATATATTCTCACTTATAAGTGTGAGCTAAATATTGAGTTCATATGGACGAAATGATTGGAAAAACCCATTCTAGAAACTCAAAAAGGCAGGAAGGAGGAAGGGTGGTAAGGGTTGAAAAATTACCTGTTGCCTACTATGTTCACTATTTTGGTAATGGGTTATAGCAGCCCAAACCTCAGCATCACAAAATGTATCCAAGTAGCAAACCTGCACATGTACCCCTTGAATCTAAAACTAAAATGAATAAAATACAAAATAATAAAAATATAAAATTATGTAACTTCCTAAGTTTCTTAGGGCAGCATAATAAGTGGTTAATAGTATGGGCTTTGGAGTCACAGACGCTCTGGTTTAAGCCTACCTCAAGCCCTTAAAGATTATATAACCTTAGGAAAATAATTTCACCTCATCTTCCTCATTCAGAAAATTAGAGTTAAGAAATATAATTCAGTGTAAATGAGCACAATGTCTGGCACAAAAGAAAACTCAATAAATATTAATAGTGGTAACTTTATGATGTTTTTGTTACCAATTAACTAAACATATTTTTAACATTCCAAACCTCCTTTCATCAAAACTGGGTGGTTCAGGGACATTTAATTGTCACATTGAGAAAACATGACTCCCTTAGGAGCACTTTACCTCACTGTGCCAATACTTTATTAAAAGATGGGTACCAAGCCAAATTTAGTAATAGTGATTAAAACGTCCCAAGCCTACTGGACTCCAACATTCTAAAGGAGTAAATTCAAAATCCTTTTTCCGCCACTACTAACCTTTAGTATTTTGTTATTGTTATTATTTTTGTCCATATGTTTGGCCCTAAAAAAATAGGCACTTGTATGAAAATGGAGGATACATTTTTCTGCAGAACACTTGTGAATATCTTAGGAACTGATTTTAACTGCCATATCTATGCTTTATAATAGAATTTAATAATTTGGGGCTTGTTTTCAATCTTATCTTTAAACTTACTAATATAATACTTTTAAGAACAGAGACCAGTGACTTTCATTTCTCATTCTGACTGAAAAACTTATTTTAGAATAACCCTACTAACTGGAATAAGTGCAGAACTTTGAAAAAAAATTAAAATAAGGCCAACTGTTTAAAATTATCAGAGAATAAATAAGGTAGCCAGACCTTGAAAGGCCAACATTTCAGGAACAAGGAAAAAGCACTGAAGTGAGCCTGCTGTTCTTTGCCAAGTCTACTTTAAGGAATTTGCTAATTCTAGATAAGCATGGACGAGATGCTGAGTAGACAGTGGCAGCCCAAAGCTTTTGACAATTTAACAGCATTTAGGAGACAAATACAGTTTAGGATGACTAAGGCTTCCAGATCTTGAAGTGCAAGATATTAAACACACTAAGAACTAATTAGATGAGTTCAACAGCAGATTAGACAGAGTATAAGACAAGATCAGTAGCCTAAAAGATAACTTGCTACAAAATATTTATACTAAAATATCAAGAAAAAATGATGGAAAAAGTTTAGAAACACATGGCACATGGCAGCCAAAAAGTAACATATACCCAGGTAGAGGGCAAGAAGGACAACAGCAACAATGGGGTTAAAATAATACCTGAAGTACACTTCTAGATACATATGTGGGTGAGAATTTTTTTAAATTAAAAATATGTCAAGCCACAAAGTCAAGAAATGCTGTGATCACCACTCAAGAAAAATACAAAGTTAAGCACACCTAGGCATATCTCAGTGAAACTAAGATGAAAACCCCAAAAAACAAATTGCTCAGAACAGCAAGAAAAAGTAAACACATGATTTTCAAAGGAGCCAAAACCAGTAAAAATTATGGCCAACTCCTGCTAAAACAGTGGAAGTCAGAAATGGAATATAATTGTTAAAGAGAAAAATTAACATCCCAAAAATTCTGTATCCAACAACAGATCTTTAAAAAATAGAAGTGAAGCAAAGATCTTTTAAGACAAACAAAATCTGAAATAATCTATTGCCCACAGACTCACCATACACAGTACTAAAAAAAGTTCCACAGACTCTAAAATAATGATCCCTGATTTTTAATCTTGGAAAAACAGGAAGGAGTGATGAGGAATACTGAAAGAGATAAATAAATGATTACACACAAATAAATACTTTATAGAAATTAAAATAACAATGACTTTCAGGGTTCAAATATATATGTGTGCATATGTACACATGTATATGCATACATACATATGATTAAAATTCAGGAAAACAATAGCACAAAAATAGGATGAGTAAATGAAGTTAAAGTTCTCTAAGTTCCTTCCCTTACTGAAAAATGCTAAATGTACTAATTTTTAGTTTTAATTCAAGGATACATGTTGTAATCTCTAGAGTGACTGCTAGAAGAATAAACCCAAGAATATACAACTAATATCTAATAGAGGACAAGTGTGGAATAATAATAAGAGTAAACTTGATTAATTCACATGAAGGCAAGAAAGAAGACAGTAGGAAAAAAGAATAAATAGAAAACAAATAGTGAATGGCCAATATAAACAAAATTATATCACAAACTATACTAAATATCAATAGATTACTCCATTTAAAAACAGAGGTATCGGACTATATAAAAATCAAAGCAAAAGTTTAAAATACATGCTGCTTACAGAAGCATAGCTTAAAAAGTGGTTCACAAAGATTGAAAATTTAAAAAAGAGAAAATATATACCATGCAAATATTAGCCAGAAGAAAGCTGGACCAATTACACTTCACAGGAAAACAGAAATAGACTTTAATTCAAGAAGTATTACTAAAGACAAAGAGAAACATCTTATAAAGGTAAAAAGTTCAATCCATCAGGAATGTAAAACAATTCTAGATTTGAATAACTCTAATGGCATAGCTTCAAAATCTTTCAAATAAATTTTGTGTGAATTAAAAAGTAAAAGACAAATAGATTTTAACACATCTTTTTCAGTAGCTGATAAAAAAGAATACCAAAAATTAATAAGGATAAAGAAGGTTTGAACTACATGATAAAAAAAAATTGTATTGTACATAAGGAAATTCTGTACTCAACCACCACAAAAAATTAACCATATTCTGGGTGTTATAGTAAGTATTAGCCAACTTTAAAGTATAAAAGCCACACTTTAAATTACACATACAAAATGTGTTACTTAAACAGGGAAGTATTAAGCTAGATATTGATAAGAAGAAGAAAATTAGGAAACCTCCATATCACTGTAAATGAAACAACATACTTCTGACTTCTGTATAACCCACAGGTCAAATAATAAATTGCATTGGTAATTAGAAAATATTTTGAGATGAATGACAGCATGATTATGATAAAAATGTGTGCAATTTATCTAAAGCCTTGTTTTGAAGGAGATTTCTTCCCTTAAATGCACATATTAGAAAAAAAGGATGACTGAAAATCAATAACCAGAACAAATTAAATGTAACAAAACAGAAGAAAGAAAATAATAAAGATAAGAGCAAAAGTTAATTAAGTAGAAACAAATGTACATCAGAGAAAATCAAGATAGCTAAATAAGTTCATGCTTTGGGAAAAGTAATAGAATTAATAATCCCTTAGTGAAACTGATAAAGTAAAATATAAATTTTAAAAAATGAATAACAACAAAAATAATAATAGTAATAATGTCACCTAACACATTAAGCATTTAAAATGTCTGAGGTTTTGTACTAAACATTTTACTTGCATTATATCAGGGATTCTTGATACTGGCTGCTTATCATAATCAAATAAAGAACTTTCATAAAATGTTCAGAGTCCACCTAGGTGATTGATCTGATTATGGAATGTGGATGAAAAAGTATTGTATTATATTATGTAACAATTACACCCACCCTCTGAGATATTATTCATATCAATATCCTTATTTTTCAAAAGTAAAAACTGAGATAAAAGGAGGATAAGTAACATACTCTGGGTCAAGCAGCTAGATAAGGTAATTAATTTTCAGTGCTGCAGTATCTTTGTACTCTGATAGTCACATAGTATTTGAATAGTGCTATGAGCTGTTCTACCATTTAGTAACACTTCAGTTCCCAGAGTAACTGTAAAATTTCTCTAGAGTTCAGGTCAAAGGCCAGAAAGTTAGTCAAATCAAGCAATACCATACTCCTAATCAATGCCTCACCAATGCTTCCTCATGCATTTTTGCTAGAATGGAAATGCTCAACTCTTCCATGAAAACATTCCTGACCATGTTCTCAGGTAAAATTATTTGCTTCCTTCCTTACTGCCCTATACAGTGTAAATACTTCTATAATACTATCTCCTTGAAGGTAGAGATGACATGGTGTTTGTTTCAGCATTCCCAGAATTTAGTGCAGTCCTTGCCAGATAGTAGGTGTTCAGTAAAGGTAAATGAATGAATGAATCAATGAATGAATGAGGAGACATATTCTACAATTATCAATGGCATCAGTGTAGGGGTTTCCAACATACTTCCCTCCTCCCTTGACAAAAGGCATTTGTGTAAGCCTCATGATTTATTTCAAGCTTTGAGTTCCAAGAGATAAGGTGTTGAAGGTCAGAGTTGTTCTCTTTGATAATAATTTCAAATTTTAAAGTGTTTCCCAGACATCTTCAGTTGGTTGCTAGTTTCCTATAATGGCTAACATTTATTTGACATTTACTGTGTGCCAGCTCATTTTATCTCAATTCATTCTCAAAACTAGCTCATGAGATAGATACTATTACTATCCTTATGTTACAGATAAGAAACTGAGTCTATAAGAGGCTAAATAATTTACTCAAGTTTACCTGAGAGTAGAGTAAATTAATTTCCAGTTATACATGACCACAAGATGGAATTATTAGGCTACATTGCTTGTCAAATATTTATAATGATAGCTAAACTTAACATTTCTTGAGCAATCATTTGCAAGGCACTCGGAGAAGTGCTTGATCTAATCTACTTCACACAAACAACTGTGAGAATTCAGTACTACTATTGCCAGTTTTTATTAATGAAAAATGATTCTTACTTATAAAATAATTAAATAACCTATACAAATTAACCCAGACCATTCTTGCATCTTTCTGTTATGTCACTCACTTCCTTTTTCATGTTACAATGGCCTTCTCTCAGGTCCACCACAACCAACCACTTCTTATTCATATTAGGACTTTACAAACATGTTCCTATGCCTGGAATGCTTCCCTTGACTTCTCTGCCTAGATTTAGTTCTACTCATTTTTCAAGTCACAGCTTAAGTATTCCTTGACTCAACTCTAACTCTCAGTTCTAACTCATCACCACTATTTTACTCTCATAATAACAGAAACTTGTATTTTCCTCCTCCAAATTTAAAATGACTTGAAAACTATTAATTTACATTAATTGGGTGATTATTTATTAAATTTTTGTCTCTTCTATTGGATTATCAGCTTTATGATAGGTTTACTTATTGTTCAGATGTTTTACTTATTATTCTATATCTAGTGCCTGGCATATACAAAGCATGCTGAAAATACATGTTAAAAGAACACATAAGACAAATCTTGATGTAGTTTGGATCTGTGTCCCAACCAAATCTCAGGTTGAATTGCAATCCCCAGTGTTGGAGGTGGGGCCTGGAAGGAGCTGATTGAATTCGGGGGCAAATGTCTTATGAATGGTTTAGTACCAACCTCCTTGGTACTGTATAGCGAGTGAGTTCTCATGAGATCTGGTTGTTTAAAAGTGTGTAGTACCTCCCCTCTCATACTGTGTTCTTCCTGCTCTGGCCATGTGAAGTGACTCACCTCCCCTTTGCCTTCCACCATGATTGTACATTTCCTGAGGCCTCCCCTGAAACTGAGCAGATGGCCAGAATTATGCTTTCTATACAGCCTGCAGAACCATGAGCCAATTAAACCTGTTTTCTTTAGAAATTATCTAGTCTTGGCTATTTTTTTTATAGCAGTGAGAGAATTAACCAGTACAGAAAATTGGTACTAGGAGTGGGGCATTGCTATAAAGATACCTGGAAATGTGGAAGCAGCTTTGGAACTGCATAACAAGCAGAGGTTGGAACACGTTGGAGGGTTCAGAAGAAGACAGGAAGATGAGGGAAAGTTTGGAATTTCCTAGAGGCTTTTTGAATGGTTTTTACCAAAATGCTGATACTGATATGGACAGAGATAGCCAGGCTGAGGTGGTCTCAGATGGAAATGAGGAACTTATTGGAAACTAAAGTAAAGGTCACTTTTGCTATGCTTTATCAAAGAGACTGGTGACTTTGTGTGCCTATTCTAAGAGACCTGTGGAATTTTGAACTGGCGAGAGATGATTTAGGGTACCTGACAGAAGAAATTTCTAAGCAGCAAAGTGTTCAAGAGTGACCTGGATGCTTCCAACAGCCTATTTTCATATGCATGAGCAAAGAAATAACTTGAAGCTGGAACTTATATTTAAAAGGAAAACAAAGCATAAAAGTTTGAAAACTTTGCAGCCTGCCCATGTGGCAGAAAAGAAAAAACAATTCTCTGGGGAGGAATGGAAGGTGGCTACAGAAATTTGCGTAAAGAAAAAGAAGCCAAGTGCTTCAAAGGTAATACAGTGACCTTTGTAGCAGCCCTCCAATCACAGGCCTGGAGGTTTAGGATAGAAGAATGGTTCTGTGGGCTGGGTCCAGGGCCCCTCTGCCCTTTGCAGCCTCAGGACACTGTTTCTCACATCCCGACTGTTCCAGGTCCAGCTGTGGCTCAAAGGGGCCCAGGTATATCTAGGGCTCCTGCTTCAGAGGGTGCAAATTGTAAGCCTTGGCAGTTCTCTCATGGTGTTGAGCCTGTGGGTGCACAGAATGCAAGAGCTGATCTTGGGAGCCTTTACCTAGATTTCAGAAGATGTAAGGAAAAGCCTGAATGCCTGGGCAGAAGCCTGCTACAGAGGTGGATCCCTGATGAAGAACCTCTACTAGGGCATTGCAGAGGGGAAATGTGGGGTTGGAGCACCCACAGAGTTCCCACTGGGGCACTTCATAGTAGAGTTATGAGAAGAGGGCCACCATCCTCTAGACCCCAGAATGGTAGATCCACTGGCAGCTTGCACACTGTACCTGGAAAAGCCACAGGCACATAATGCCAGGCCTGAGAGCAGCCACCAGGGCTTACCCCTATAAATCCACAGCTGTCCAATGACTTGGGAGCCTACCCCTTGCACCAGTGTGTCTTGAGTGTGACACATGGAGTCAAAGGAGATTATTTTGGAGCTTTTAGATTTAATGACTGCCTTTCAGGGCTTCAGACTTGCACAGGGCCTGTAGCCCCTTTCTTTTGGCCAATTTACCTCTTTTGGAAGGGGATTATTTACCCAATTCCTATACCCTCATTGTATCTTGGAAGTAACTAACATGTTTTTGATTTTACAGGCCCATAGGCAGAGGAGACTAGCTTTATCTCAGATGAGACTTTGGACTTTAGACTTTTGAGTTAAGACATTGGAGGACTGTTGGGAAGCCATTGTTGTATTTTCAAACGTAAAAAGTTCATGAGATTTGGAAGGGGCCAGGGGCAGAAATGTAAGGTTTGGATCTATGTTCTCAGCCAAATCTCAGGTTGAATTGCAATCCCATGTTGGAGGTGAGGCCTGGAGGGAAGTGATTGAATTAGGTTGTCAGAGTTCTCATGAATATTTTAGTACCATCTCACTTGGTACTGTATAGTGAGTGAGTTCTCAGTAGATCTTGTTGTTTAAAAGTGTGCAGCACCTCCCCTGTCATTCTCACTTTCTCTTGCTCTGGACATGTGAAGTGACTCGCTCCCCCTTTGCTTTCTACCATGATTGTGCCTTTCCTGAGACTTGCCCAGAAGCCAAACGGATGGTCAGCATCAGGCTTTCTGTACAGCCTGTGCAACTGTGAGCCAATTAAACCTCTGGTCTTTATAAATTGCCCAGTATCAGATATTTCTTTATAGCAGTGTGAGAAGGAACTAATCCAGGCCTTAAACATGATTCTTAATTCCTGGGCATGCACTCCCAATTACTACTTAACAGAGAACCTTTAGAAATTATTTTCTCAGCCTATAATTACATCTCAATACAAGAAGTCTCATAATTTTTTTCTATTAGGTAAAGTAAGAATTATTTCCATTTTTCCTAGATATCCCATTTCAAGTAGTAAAATAAGATTTTTCATTATACTTTAACAGGATTTGGTTGGGGAAATATTCTGGTTTTTTTTCTCAATGTTTCTTTTATTGGTTTGTGGACTTTGATCACTTCCCTTATCAGCACTCATCTTTTCAGACTAATGAATCCCAATCTTTTTACCTTGTCCTCTCTGCTTAATGTCACTCCAACTCCTTGGCTTTTTTGAGCCTTTTATAGTACTGTTTTATTTTGGATGGTCTTAATAAGTGAACTAAACATTGACATTCTAGTAGATAGTATTAACAGTAGAATTCTTAAATAATAATGAAAACCAAAACTGAAATAAAACAACTGAAAAAAAAAACTTTGACTATGAGATAAATGTTGAATGGGGGAATATGTGTAGTCTTAGAGTTCTTTTCAGAGTGATGCTAAATCAAGTTATCAAAATTACTGTAAAAAATATTTTTTCTAACTGTTAGGCCATATCACTGTAATCCATTATTTTGAGCATTTAATATAGTTTGTATTTCATCAATAAATTCTACTGTTTCCACAGTTTTCTTATTCCGCTATTTAAAAATATGCTTAATAAGAATAATTTATAAAAAACATATAAGCATTATCTACTAAGAACAAGAAGATTCAGGTCATCACATTCTAAAAAAGAAAAGGTCATTTTAGTCAAAATTAGTGTTTCCTAGTGTTTCAAAGAAAATGTTAAAGCTAAGATGACATTGACAAATTGCCACCATTTATTTAAATGGTGTAATGCAATCTACCAGTACTTCTAGAATCTGTGTTTTTGAAGCAGTTGACCTGACCAACTAATGCAAACAAATTAGCCTCCCGGGAGCTAGCTGTATTCTATAGACAATTAAATATCATAAGCTAATATTATTTGATACATACGATCTACTATCTAAAGCATTTTATTAAATGTGAATCATATAATTGCAACAAATATGTCTTTACCAAGTGTGGTGACAATAATTTCTACAGATTCCTTGCTCAAAATATATTTAAAGTTCAAACAAGAAAAAAACTTGTAAGCAGCATAATGTCTTCTCCAGATACTAATTAAATCCCTATCTACTACCTCAAAAAAGTTTTCTTTGGGGTTCAAATTTTAGTCTTTGATCTTCATTGTGATTTTTTAATCTTCCTGGTTACTGCACTTTAAATGAATTAAATTTAGTTTTAAGAGGAAAATCAATAAGCTAATGAAAAGAACTGTGGGTTATAACCATTCTTTACTTCGAAGGTTTGTCTGAACCTGGGACAAATGCCAATTCTGTACAGTGCACTAAAGTGACCAATGTTAAGCTACATGTATATATATTTTTTCTAAATATCCAAAGCATAATTACCCATCAGTCACTTGCCCACTGAAGGTTCAGTTCTATTCATTATAAGGTTGTTCTCAACATCAGTCCTAACTATATCTGGCTGCTCAATGATTAACCTACAGATGATTCATCAAAATGATAATGTTAACACAGGAGGAAAATTAATTTTTCAAAGACCCAGGTTTCAAAATACCTTACATGACCATAGCTCATCTGTGTAATATATGTTCAACAATACTTTTAATGCCTCTAGAGGTGCAACTCATGAGGAAAAATAGTACTTTATGAGGAAATAGGAAAAAGAAAGTTTATTGATTGTGCAAAAGCAGCAATATGAAAAAAATGTTATTTGAATATATTTTTATTCTTGATTGCATAGATTTTTTGCCAGAAGTAATGTGATTATCAATAAATAGAAATATTCTTTATTTATTTGAATAGAAATTATTTTATCTTGGTATAGTTTTTTCTGTTGAAATGATACTGAGTTGTATTTTTCAGCAGGCTTAAATACTATAAGATTTTATCACTACTGTCTTCCATAATAATTCAAATTTGCTGTAACATGTAATTCAATTCCACATACTTATTGAGGACCTGTTATATACAAATAATTTTATTAGAAAAGATAAGGGAAAAAAAACTTTACTATGCCCAACAAAAACTTACAAGCAAGTGAGAGATGGAAATGTGTATGCACATATGTATATATACAATTTTAATGCATGGCTATCTTAAAATATTAAATACCCATGACGATTTCTTATTAATTGCTAATAGCTTAGGATACATCAAGTAAATTGTTGAGCTTTTTGCATGCATTTTTTAAATTTTATCCTCACAGCTACCCTATGAGTCAGGTTCTAATTTTAATCCTTATTTTACGTAAGAAGAAACTATGGCATAAAACAGGTATACAAGTTAAATTATGCACTATGATCATAAAAACAAGGGAAGAATTAGATATCATTCAAGTATATGAAAAATGTTTATTTTTCAGTTTTGAAAAGAGCCTTGAAGAAGCAATTGAACTTCTCTACAGGAGGAGATTGTGAAAATGGGCATTCAAATAAAATAAAACATTTTTTGCAAAGTTTCTAAGTCAAGAAAGTTCATAGTCTCTTTGTAAAATGTCAAATGTAAATAGAATGTTATGGCTATAAATGTGAGCTCTGCATTCAAAGTACCTGGTTTTGAAATCTTGCCAATAGCTATGTGACCTTGGGCAAATTACTTTTCTGTTTGTCATTTAGCTTATCCATAAAATGAATGTGATAATTGTACCTTTCATGTATGGTCTTTGTGAGGACTAAATGAGACAATACCTATAAAATGATTAGAACATCGCCTGTCACACACAATAGTGGTGAGTAGCCTGAGGGGGCTGGCCTGGTAAAATAGCACAATGCTATTAATCCTCAAGAACATACCTTCTTTTTTCCTCCATTCAGTTCCTTGCACAGAACTTGTATAGCCAACATTAACCTCTTCTCCTTTTGATCTGCTATTACTGTTTTTTTTATATAAGACACTCAGTACTTAGCTTTTCCATGGTCACTCCAATCCAAAGTGGCTTGCCATCTCTTATTTATTTATTTATTTATTTATTTATTTATTTATTTATTTTGACGCAGAATCTCGCTCTGTCACCCAGGCTGGATTGCAGTGGCGTGATCTCGGCTCACTGCAAGCTCAGCCTCCTGGGTTCATGTCATTCTCCTGCCTCAGCCTCCCCAGTAGCTGGGACGACAGGCGCCTGCCACCACACCCAGCTAATTTTTTGTATTTTTAGTAGAGATGGGGTTTCACCATGTTAGCCAGGATGGTCTCCATCTCCTGACTTCCTGATCCAACCGCCTAGGCCTCCCAAAGTACTGGGATTACAGGTGTGAGCTACCATGCCCGGCCTTGGCTTGTCATCTCTTAACTCATATTTTGATCATTATATGGGCTATTTTTTAGGGTTATCATATTATAGCTACTTTTTATTTGTTTATTTTTTATTATTATACTGTGAGCTCTGGGATACATGTGCAGAACGTGCAGGTTTGTTACATAGGTGTACATGTGCCATGGTGGTTTGCTGCACCCATCAACCAGTCATCAACATTAGGTATTTCTCCTAATGCTATCCCTCCCCTAGCCCTCCACCCCCTCACAGGCCCCAGTGTGTGATGTTCCCCTCCCTGTATTCATGTGTTCTCACTGTTCAACTCCCATTTATAAGTGAGAACATGCAGTGTTTGGTTTTCTTTCCTGTGTTAGTTTGTTGAGAATGATGGTTTCCAGCTTCATCCATGTCCCCACAAAGGAAATGAACTCATTCTTTTTTATGGCTGCAGAGTATTTCATGGTGTATATGTGCCACATTTTCTTTATCCAGTCTATCATTGATGGGCATTTGGGTTGGTTCCAAGTCTTTGCTATTGTGAGTAGTGCTGCAATAAACATACGTGTGCATGTGTCTTCATAGTAGAATGATTTATAATCCTTTGGGTATATACCCAGTAATGGGATTGCTGAGTCAAATGGTATTTCTGGTTCTAGATCCTTGAGGAATTGCCACACTATATTCCAAATGGTTGAACTAATTTACACTGCCACCAAAAGTGGAAAAACGTTCCTATTTCTCCACATCCTCTCCAGCATCTGTTGCTTCCTGACTTTTTAATGATCGCCATTCTAACTGGCATGAAATGTTATCTCATTGTGGTTTTGATTTGCATTTCATTAATAACCGGTGATGAGATTTTTTTCATATGTTTGTTGGCTGCATAAAAGTCTTCTTTTGAGAAGTGTCTGTTTATATCATTTGCCCACATTTTGATCGAGTTGTTTGCTTTTTTCTCATAAATTTGCTTAAGTTCCTTGTAGATTCTGGATATTAGACCTTTGTGAGGTGGATAGATTGCAAAACTTTTCTCCCATTCTCTAGGTTGCCTGTTCACTCTGATAATAGTTTCTTTTGGCTTTTGTTGCCATTGCTTTTGGTGTTTTAGTCATGAAGTCTTTGCCCATGCCTATGTCCTGAATGGTATTGCCTAGGTTTTCTTCTATGGTTTCTATGATTTTAGGTCTTATGTTTAAATCTTTGATCCATCTTGAGTTGATTTTTGTATAAGGTGTAAGGAAGGGGTCTAATTTTATTTTTCTGCATATGGCTATCCAGTTTTCCCAACGCCATTTATTAAATAGAGAATCCTTTCCCCATTGCTTGTTTTTGTCAGCTTTGCTAAAGATCAGATGGTTTTAGGTGTGTGGTGTTATTTCTGAGGCCTCTGCTTTTTTCCTTTGGTCTATATGTTTGTTTTGGTACCAGTACCATGCTGTTTTGGTTACTGCAGCCTTGTAGTATAGTTTGAAGTCAGGTAGCATGATGCTTCCAGCCTTGTTCTTTTTGCTTAGGATTGTGCTGGCTATATGGGCACCTTTTTGGTTCCATATGAAATTTAAAGTTGTTTTTTTCTAATTCTGTGAAGAAAGTCAGTGGTAGCTTAATGGGGACAGCATTGAATCTATAGATTACTTTGGGCAGTATGATCATTTTCACTATATTGATTCTTCCTATGAGAATGGAATGTTTTTCCATTTGTTTGTGTCCTCTCTTATTTCCTTGAGCAATGGTGTGTAGTTCTCCTTGAAGAGAGCAAAAACAGAGCAAACTCAAGTAAGATCAGTGATGAAAAAAGGAGACATTACAACTAATATTGCAGAAATTCAAAGGATCATTAAAAACTGTGATTAGAAATTATATGCCAATAAATTGGAAATCTCAGACAAAATGGGTAAGTTATTAGACACATATAAACTACCAACCTCTATGAAGTAATTCAACACCAGAATAGATCAATAGCAAGTAATGAGATTGAAGCCATAACAAGATGTCTCAGCACAGCTGCCTTGCCAAATTGTGACCAGACTGCTTCTTTAAGCAGGACCCCAATCCATTCCTCCTCACTGGGCAGGACCTCTTTACAGGGGTTTCAGCCACTCCAACAAGGTTTCTACGGACCAAACTCTGATCTCTGCCTGGGATGGATCTACCAGGGATAGAGGCTGCTACCATCTTTGTTGTTTGATCAACCCAGATGCTCCAGCCTGCTGGCTATGAAGAATTCAGGCAGTCTAGACAGAAAAAGGGTTCCGCAGAATGCAGTACATCTGCTTTAACAAAAAAGATCCAGACTGATTCTTTGGGCAGGTCCCTGATCCCATTTCTTCTAACTGGGTAAGGCCTCCCAGTGTGGGTCTCCTGCCACCTACTATAGCTCAGTCCCCCGCTAAATAAAGATTCCAGAGGAAAAAGCTGGTTGTGCCATCTTTGTTGTTTTGCAGGATTTACTGGTGATACAGGTATGGAAAAAACTGAGGCAACTGGAATCTGGAGTTGAATTCCAGAAACCTGCAGCAGCCCTATGGTAGATTGGTCTGATGGTTAAAAGAAAAACAAACAAACAGAAAGCAATGACAACAGCAACATAAACAAAAAGACCTTGCAAAAACCTTATTCAAAGGTCAGCAACCTCAAAGATCGAAGGTAAATAAGCCTACAAATATAAGAAAGGATCAATGTAAAAGACTGAAAACTCAAAAAGCCAGAGTGTCTCTTCTCCAAATGACCTCAACACCTCCACAGCAAGGGCACAGAACTAGGCTGAGGCTGAGATGGCTGAATTGAGAGAAGTAGGCTTCAGAAGGTGGGTGATAACAAACTTTGCTGAGCTAAAGGAGCATGTTGTTACCCAGCGCAAAGAAGCAAGAATCATGACAAAACAATACAGGATCTGGTAGCCAGAATAGCCAGTTTTGAAAGGAACCTAACTGACCTAATGGAGTGGAAAAACACAACATGAGAACTTCACAAGTATCAATAGTAGACTAGACAAAGCAGAGAAAATAATCTCAGAGCTTGAAATCTATGTTTGTGAAATAAGACACACAGAGAAGAATAGAGAAAAAATAAGAAGAAGAATAAAACCTCTGAGAAATATGCGACTATGTAAAGAGGCCAAATCTATGACTGATTGGGGTAACTGAAAGAGATAAGAAGAATGGAATCAAGTTGAAAAATATCACGGGAAGGGGAACATCACACTCTGGGAACTGTTGTGGGGTGGGGGGATGGGGGAGGGATAGCATTAGGAGATATACCTAATGCTAAATGACGAGTTAATGGGTGCAGCACACCAGCATGGCACATGTATACATATGTAAAAAACCTGCACATTGTGTACATGTACCTTAAAACTTGAAGTATAATAATAATTTAAAAAAAAGAAAGAAAAATATCCTTCAGGGTATCATCCAGGAGAACTTCCCCAACCTATAATAGCAAGACAGGTCAACATTCAAATTCCAGAAATCCAAAGAATATAAATAAGATACCCCACAAGAAGATAAGCCACAAGACACCTCATCATCAGATTCTCTAAGGTCAAAATAAAAGAAAAAATATTAAGGCAGCCAGAGAGAAAGGGCAGGTCATTTACAAAGGGAAACCCATCAGTATAACCGTGGAACTCTCAGCAGAAACTCTGCAAGCCAGAAGACATTGGAGGCCAATATCTGATATTCTTAAAAAATGAATTTTTTACCCAGAATTTCATATCCAGCAAAACTAAGCTTCATGAGTGAAGGAGAAATAAGAAATTTCTCAAATATTCAAATGCTTAGGGAAATCATCACCCTCAGGCCTGCTTTGCAAAAGCTCCTGAAGGAAGCACTAAATATGGAAAGGAAAATCCATTACCAGCTACTACAAAAACAAACTGAAGGACACAAACAAGTGACACTATGAAATATCCACATAAACAAATCTGCAAAATAACCAGCTAGCATCATGAAGACAGGATTAAATTTCCACATAACAACACTAACCTCAGATGTAAATGGGCTAAATGTCCCAATTAAAAGACAGAATGGCAAGCTGGATAAAAAGCCAATACCCATCAGTATGCTGTCTTCAAGAGACCCAACTCATGTGCAAAGACACACATAGGCTCAACATAAAAAAGAATTGAGGAAAATTTACCAAGCAAATGGAAAACAAAAAAAGCAAGGGTTGCCATGCTAGTTTCTGACAGAACAGGCTTTAATCCAACAAACATCAACAAGCAGGAAGAAGGACATTACATAATGGTAAAGGGTTCAATTCAACAGGAAGGGCTAACTATCCTAAACATATGTGCGCCCAATACAAGAAAACACAGATTCATAAAGCACATTCTTAGAGACCTACAAAGAGACTTAAACTTTCAAACAATAATAATAGTAAACTTTAAATCCCCACTGACAATATTAGACAAATCATTGAGGCAGAAAATTAACAAAGTTATTCAAGACCTTAACTGAGCTCTGGATCATGTGGACCTGAGTGATATCTACAGAACTCTCCACCCAAATTTAACAGAATATACATTCTTCTCATTGCCACATAGCTTACACTAAAATTGATCACATAATCATAGGTAAGGCACTCTTTAGCAAATACAAAAAAAAATGAATTATAACAGTCTCTCAGACCACAGTGCAATCAAATTAGAATTTAAGATTGAGAAATTCACTCAAAACCATACAACTACATAGAAATTGAACAACCTGCTCCTAATGACTTCTGGGTAAAAATGAAATTAAGGTAGAAATCAAAAAGTTACTTGAAACTAATGAGAACAAAGAGATAACAAACATACCAGAATTTCTGGGACACAGCTAATGCAGTGTTAAGTGGGAAATTTATAGCACTAAATGACCAAATCAAAAAGCTAGAAAGATCTCAAGTTAACAACCTAATATCACAACTAAAAGAATTACAGAAGCAAAAGCAAACAAACCCCAAAGCTAGCAGAAGACAAGAAGTAACCAATATCAGAGCTGAACTGAAGAAGATATAAAGATGCAAAAAGACTTTCAAAAAATCAGTGAATTCAGAAGCTGACTTTTTGAAAAAAATTAATAAGGTTGCTAGGTTGCTAGCTAAACTAACAAAAATGAAAAGAGAGAAGAATCAAATAAATACAATCAGAAATGATAAAGTGGATATTACCACTGATTCCACAAAAATACAAACAACCATAAGCAAATACTATAAACATGACTATGCACACAATCTAGAAAATCTAGATGAAACAGATAAATTCCTGGATGCATATACCTTCTCTAGAGTGAACCAGGAAGAAATTGAATCCCTGACTAGACCAATAATGAGTTCTGAAATTGAGGCAGTAAAAAATTGCCTATCAACAAATAAAAGTCCAGAAACAGATAAATTCACAACTGAATTCTACTAAAAGTAAAAAAAAAAGAGCTGGTACCATTTCTACTGAAACTATTCTAAAAAAATTGAAAAGAAGAGACACCTCCATAGCTCATTCTATGTAGCCAACATCATCCTGATATCAAAATCTGGCAGAGATACAAAAGAAAAGAAAAGAAAAGAAAAGGAAAGAAAAGAAAAGAAAACTTTAGGCCAATATCCTTAATGAATATTCATGCAAAACTTTTCAATAAAATTTTGGCAAACCAAATTCAGTAGCACATCAAAAAGCTTATTCACCATGATCAAGTTGGCCTCATCCCTGGTATGCAAATTTGGTTCACTATATTCAAATCAATAAATGTGATTCATCACATAAACTGAACTAAAGACAAAAACCACATGATTATCTCAATAGATGCAGAAAATGCCTTTGATAAAATAAAACATCCTTTTGTGTTAAAAACTCTCAATAAACTAAGTATTGAAGGAACATACCTCAAAATAATGAGACATATATGACAAATCCACAGCCAATATTATACTGAACGAGCAAAAGCTGGAGGCATTCCCCTTGAAAACTGGCACAAGACAAGGATGTCCCCTCTCACCACTCCTATTCAAAATCATATTGAAAATTCTGGCCAGGGCAATCAGGCAAGAAAAAGAAATAAAGGGTATTTAATTAGAAAGGGAGAAAATCTAGATGACAGGTTGAAAGGTGCAGCAAACCACCATGGCACATGTATACCTATGTAACAAACCTGCACGTTCTGCACATGTATCCCAGAACTTAAAGTAAAATAAAATAAAAATAAAATAAAATAAAATAAAATAAATAGATATTAGGTCAATGCCATTTTATAAAAGGAAAGGGAGAAAGTCAAAATTATCTTTTTTTGCAGATGACATAATCCTATATCTAGAAAACCCCATTGTCTCAGTCTAGAAGCTTCTTAAGCTGATAAACAACTTCAGCAAAATCTCAGCATATAAAATTACTCTGCAAAAATCACCAGCATTTCTATAAACCAAAAAAGGCAAGCAGAGAGCCACATAACAATTAAAATTCCATTCACAATTGCTACAAAAATAATAAAATACCTAGGAATACAGCTAACCATGGAGGTGAAGGACCTCTTTAAGGAGAATTATAAACCACTGATCAAAGAAATCAGAGAAGACAGAAACAAATGAAGAAACATCCCATGCTCATGGATAAGAAGAATCAATATCATGAAAATGGCCATACTGACCAAAGTAATTTATAGATTGAATGCTTCTCATTAGACTATCATTGACATTCTTCACGGAATTAGAAGAAACTATTTTGAAATTCATATGGACCCAAAAAAGAGACCAAATAGCCAAGACAATTCTAAGCAAAAAGGACAAAGTTGGAGGCATCACACTACCCAACTTCGGACTATACTACAAGGGTATAGTAACTAAAACAGCATGGTACTTGTCCAAAAACAGATACATGGACAAATGTAACAGGATAGATATTTCAGAAGTAAGGCGATACACCTACAAACATCTGATATTCAACAAACCTAACAAAAACAAAAAATAGGGAAATGACTTTGTATTTATGGAGCTGGGAGTGCTGGCTAGGCATGAGTAGAAAATTGAAACTGGACCCCTCCCTTAAACCATACACAAAAATGAACCAAAATGAATTAAAAACTTAAATGCAAAATCCAAGGCTATAAAAGCCCGAGAAGAAAATCTAGGCAATACCATTCAGGACATAGGCACAGGCAAAGATTTTATGATGAAATCAACAAACGCAATTGCAATAAAAACAAAAATTGACAAATGGGATCTAATTATACTAAAAAGCTTCTGCACAGCAAAAGAAACTCTCATCAGAGTGAATAGACAATCTACAAAATGGGTGAAAATTTTTGCAACCTATCCATCTGACTAAGGTCTAATATCTAGAATCTAAACTTAGACAAATTTACAATTAAAATAGAAAGAACCCCATTAAAAAGTGGACAAAAGACATGAGCAGACACTTCTCAAAAGAAGACATTTATGCGGCCAACAAACATGAAAAAAAGCTCAACATCATTGATCATTAAAGAAACGAAATTCAAAACCAAAATGAGATACCATCTCATGCCAGTCAGAACAGTGATCATTAAAAAGTCAAAAAAACAACAGATGCAGGCAAGGTTGTGAAGAAGAAGAAGAAACACTTTTACACCGTTGATAAGTATGTAAATTAGTTCAATCATTGTGGAAGACAGTGTGGTGATTTTTCAAGGATCTAGAACCAGAAAAAATCATTTGACCCAGCAAACCCATTACTTGGAATATACCCAAAGGAATATAAATTATTCTATTATAAATATACATGCACATGTATGTTCATTGCAGCACTAGTTACAGTAGCAAAGACATGGAATCAAACTAAATGCCCATCAATAATAGACTGGATAAAGAAAATGTGGTACATACACACCATGGAATACTGTGAAGACATAAAAAGAAATGAGATCATGTCCATTGCAGGGACATGGATTGAGTTGGAAGCCATTATCCTCAGCAAACTAACATAGGAACAGAAAACAAAACACCATATGTTCTCACTTATAAGTGGGAGCTGAATGATGAGAACACATGGATGGACACATGGTGGGGGGAACAACATACGATGGGGATTTTGGGGGTGTTGGGGGGAGGGAGAACATCAGAAAGAATAGCTAATGGATGCTGGGCTTAATAACTGGTTGATGAGATGATCTGTGCAGCAAACCACCATGGCACACGTTTACGTGTATAACGAACCTGCATATCCTGAACATGTACCCCTGAACTTAAAATTAGAAGAAAAAAAGGATTAAGAAAAACTTCTTCCAGCAACATAAAGTTGAGAACCTAATGATTTAATGGATAATTATTATCAAACATTTAAAGAACTAATACAAATTTTTCTCAAACTATTCTTAAAAAAATAGAGGAGGATAAAACACTTTCAAAGTTTCTTAGGGGTCATTAGGTCATTATTATCCTGCTACCGAAATTAGACAAAGACTCATTGAAAAAAAAAAAACAAAAATATCTCTGATGAATATTGATGCAAACATTCTCAGAAAAACACTAATAATCAGAATTCAACAACACATTAAAAAGATAATTCGTGATGACCAAGTGAGATTTATCACACAATGCAAATCAATCAATGTGATACAGTATATAAAAAAAAGAAGGGATAAAAATCATATGATTTTTGTTTTCAATCATTTTCAACAGGTGCTGAAAAAATTGTTTGATAAAATTCAACACTTCTTCATAATAAAAACCATCCAAAAACTGGATATAGAAGGAACACACCCCACCACCAATAAAGCCATATATGAAAGACCCAGTGCTGGTATCACACTAAATGAGGGGAAAAAAAACTGAAAGCCTTTTTTCTAAGATCTGAAACAAGACAAGGGTGACCCATTTCACCACTGTTATTCAACACAGTACTGGAAGCCCTAGCTTGGACAACCAGTTAAGAGAAAGAAGTGCAGGACATCGAAATTGGAAAGGAGGAAGTAAAATGTTTCTTGTTTACAAATTATATAATCTTATGTTTGTAGAAATTTAGATAATTCACCAAAAAACTATTAGAATAAATTCAGTAAAGTTGTAAGATACAAAATTAGCATAAAAAATCAGTAGCATTTTAATATGCCAACAGAAAGCAATCTGAAAAATAAATTTTAAAAAATTCCATTTACAATAGATACAAACAAAATAAGATAACCAGAAATAAACTTAACTAAACAGGTGACTGATCTCTACAATTAAAACTATAAAACATTGATGCAGGAAATTGAAGATGAAACAAAAAAATTGGAAAGATATTTTATGTTCATGAACAGGAAGAATTAATATTGTTAGAATGTCCATACTACCCTAAACAATCTACAGATTTAAGCAAACCCTTATCAAAATACTAATGACATTCTTCATAAAAATTTTTAAACTCCTAATGTTTATATAAAACCACAAATGTCCTACAATAGCCAAAGCCATTTTGGGCAAAAATAAAATAAAATAAAATAACAAAAACTGGAGAAACCACATTACTGGACTTCAAATTATACTACAGAACTCTAGTAACCAACATAGCATTGTACTGGAATAAAAATAGACACATAGACCAATGGAACACAATACAGAATAGAGAACTCATAAATAAGTCCACACATCTACCATAAAGTAATTTTCAAAAAAGGTGCCAAAGTCATGCAATGGGAAAATGACAGTTTCTTCAATTAATGGTGCTGGGAAAACTGGATATCGTACGCAAAAGAGTGAAACTTACCAGTGACTCCCAACATACACAAAAAACAATCAAAATTAGTTAATACCTAAATCTAAGACCTCAGACTATGAAATTACTAAAAGAAGACATTGGGTAAACTCTCCAGAAAACTGGTCTGGGCAAAGACTTATTCAATAATACCCCCAAAGCATAGGCAACCAAATAAATTGACAAATTAAATCACATCAAGTTAAAAAGCTTCTGCACAGCAATATAAACAATCAAAGAAGTAAAGAGACGACCAAAGAATGAGAGAAAAGACATAAGGAGCTCAAACAACTCTATAGAAAATTCTAACTATCCACTTAAAAATGGACAAAAGATATGAATTGATACTTCTCAGAAGAAGAAATACAAAAGACAAACAGAAATATAAAAAGGTGCTCAACATCATTGATCATCACAGAAATGCAAATCAAAACTGCAATGAGATATCTTCTCACCTCAGTAAAAAATGGCTTTTTTCCCAAACACAGGTAATAAATGCTGTTGAGAATGTGGAGAAAAGGGAACTTGTACATTGTTCATGGGAATGTAAGTTAAAGCAAAAATCCATGGAGGTTCCTTAAAAAAAAAACAAAAGATTGAACTACTATTTTATCTTTTAATTACATTACTGGATACTTATTCAGAGGAAATAAAATCAGTATGTCAAAAAGATATCAGTATCCTTATGTTTATTGCAGCACTGTTCACAATGGCCAGTATCTATCTATCTATTTATTTATTTATTTATTTATTTATTTATTTATTTTTAACATTTATTATATGTTTGGAGGTACATGTGAAGGTTTGTTACATAGGTAAACACGTGTCATGGGGGCTTACTGTACCTATTTTATCTCCCAAGTATTAAGTCCAGTATGCAATAGTTATTTTTTCTGCTTTTCTCACTCCTCCCACCCTCCCCACTCAATTGGACCCCAGTGTCTGGGCAAGATTTAAAGGTGGGTGAAGCAAGATAAGGTCGTAGTCTGGCAGAGTTCCTTGTGGCAAATGGTAGCAGTGGCTATGGGGTAAAGACCCTCTGCCTTTGAAAAGGTGGGGGAAGAGTGGGAAGGATCACATCATGTTATTTGAGTTCTAGCTTGGCTGCAGTACAATAGAAAATTAGATATACTTCTAAGGATTTTGTCTCTATGACCTGACCCAAGGTAGGCATCTCTGTACCCACCCAGGGCCTTGGGGTACTCGCTATCCTAAATGGAAAGACACAGGCCAGGCTGGCTTTGCCAGCTGGCGATTGTAGAGCCCCAAGACCTTGAGCAAAGTACGCAGTAACCAGGAAGTGGTTACAGAAGGCCTTGAGTTAGACTCAGTACTCTGTTGGCTTCAGCTCTGACCCAGTGCAGTCACAGAGGTGGTGACCACAGGAGTGCTTGTGTTACTCCACCCTCAGCCTTAAGTGGCTCACCATAGAGATAGAGGCTTTGTTTGTTTGGGAGAAATAAAGGGAATAGAACACGACTATCCACCTGATAAACCATAGAATTTTTCAGGTCTTGTTTAAGACCATCAAGGCAGTACCTCTATGAATCTGCAAAAAAACACAGCATTACTGGGAATGTGGTGCTATCTAAAGCAGATAAAGCTTAGATAATAACACTCAAGTGTTTTCAAATATCTGGTAAGTATCACCAAGAAAAACAAGTACAAACAAGCCCAGATAGTGAAGACTACAGTAAATACCAAACTCTTAAACGCCCAGACACAGAAGAAAATCTACTAGCCTCAATACCATCCAGGAAAACATAACTTCACCAAATGAACTAAATAAGGCACCAGAGATCAATCCTGGAAAAAAAAAACAGAGATAAGTGAACTCTCAGACAGATAATTCAAAAGATGTGTGTTGAGGAAACTAAAATAAGTTCAAGGTAACACAGAAAAGAAATTCAGAATTCTTCAGATAAATTTAACAAAGACCTTAAGTAATTTAAAGCATGAAGCAGAAATTCTGTAGCTGAAAAATGCAGTTGGTAGAATACCGTCAGAAGAAGCATCAGAGTTTTTTAACAGCAGAATTATCAAGAAGAAAAAGTTAGTGAGCTTGAAGACAGGCTATTTGAAAATATGCAGTCAGAGGAGACCAAAGAAAAAAAGAAGAAAAACAATGAAGCAAGCAAGTCTAAAGGATCTAGAAAATAACTTCAAAAGGAAAAACTTGAGACTTATTGGCCTTAGAGAGGAGGTAGAAAAAGAGATAGGGGTAAAAAAAATATTCAAAGGAATAATAACAGAGAACTTTTCAAGCACAAGCACTTGGCTTATATATATACACACATTCAACATTGGAGGACCCAGATATATATAGGAAATATTAGAGCTAAAAGAAACAGGTAGTCCACAATAGAATAATAGCTGGAGACTTCAACAACCCACTTTAAGCATTGGACAGATAGTCCATACAGATAATTAACAAAGAAACGTTTGACTGAATCTGCACTATAAACCAAATTAATCTAATAGATATTTACACATTTCATCCAGTGGCTGCAGAATACACATTCTTCTTCTCAGCCCTTTGATCATTCTCAAGGATAAACTATATGTTAGGTCTCAAAACAAGTCTTAAAACTTTGAAAAAAACATTGAAACAATGTCAAGCATCTTTTCTGATGACAATAAAATAACACTAGGATCAGTAACAAGAAGACTTTTGAAACTACACAAATACATGGAAATTAAACAATATGCTCCTGAATTACCAGTGGGTCAATGAAAAAACTAAGAAAAAAATTAAAATATTTTGAAACAAGTGATAATGGAAGCACAACACACCAAAACCTATTGAATATACCAAAATCAGTACTCAGAGAGAAAATTACAGCTATGAGTGCCTGCATCAAAAAAAGAAAACAATTGCAAATAAACAATGTAACAATGCCTCTTAAAGAAGTAAAAATGCAAAAGCAAACCAAACCAAATATTAGTAGTAGAAAATAAATATTAAAAATCATAGCAGAAATAAATTTGAAAAAAATACAAAAAATTAATTAAATATAAAGTTGTTTTGTTGAAAAGTTAAGCAAAATTGACAAACTATTGGCCAGACTAACACAAAAAGAAAGAAGATCTATATAAATAAAATTAGAAATAAAAAAGAAAACATTACAACAGATACTGCAAAAATGAAAAGTATAATTAGTGGTTACTATTATTAACAACTATATGCCAATAAGTTGAAAAATATAGAAGAAATAGGCAAATTCTTAGAAACATGTAAACTATGAAGAATGAACCAGGGAGAAATCCAAAACCTTAACAGACTAATAACAAGTGATGAGCTCAAAGCCATAATAAAATGAATTCCAGAAAAAAAAAATGCTACAGGCCTTGTGGCTTCACTACTGAATTTTACCAAACATTTAAGGAATAATTAATACCAAACCTATTCAAACTATTCTGAAAAATAGAGGAAGAGGAAATACACCCAAACTCATTCTATGAGGTCAGTGTTAACCTGATATTAAAAAAAAAGAAAAGAAAAAAACACATTTAAAAAGGAAAATGACAGGACAATATATCTGATAAATATGAATGTGAGAATTCTAAACAAAATACTAAAAAACTGAATTCAACAAAACAGTAAAAGAATAATTTATCATGACCAAGTGGGATTTATCCACTTAGAATAAATACACATATCCAACAATGTGATATATCTATAAAATAAAGGATAAAACTATATGATAATTGAAATTGATGACAAAAAAGGATTTGATAAAATTCAACATCGCTTTATGATAAAATATCAAAAAATGGGTATACAGGAAACATATCTTAACACAACAAAAGACATCTATATCAGACACACCGCTAGTACCATACTAAATGAGGAAAAGTAGAAAGACTTTCTCATGATATCTGGAACACATCAAGAATGACTGCTTTTTCCACTGTTATTTAACAAAATACTGGAAGCCCTAGCTAGAGCAATCAGACAAGAGAAAAACGTAAATGGCATCCAAATTTGAATGAAAGAAGACAAATCATGTTTGTTTGCAGATAATGTAATTGTATATCTGAAAAAATCCCAAGGCTCCACAAGAAAACTATTAGAACTAATAAACAAGTTCAAAAAAACATCAGGGTACAAAATCAACATAGAAAAATCAGTAACATTTCTATATGCCAACAGTGAGCAATCTGAAAAAACAATGAAAAAAGTAATTCCATCTACAATAGCCTCAAATAAAATTAAATACCTAGACATTGAACAAAGTAAAATATCTCTATAATGAAACCTAGAACACTGATAAAAGTCCTTGAAGAGGATACCAAAAGAAGGAAAAATAGTTCATGTTTATGGATTGAAAAAATCAATATTGTTAAACTGTCCAAAATACTGAAAACAATCTCCAGATTCAATGCATGCCTATCAAAACACCACGACATTCTTCACAGAATTAGAAAAAACAATCCTAAAGTTTATATGGAACCAATAAACACCCAAAATAGCCATAGCTACCTTAAGCAAAAAGAACAAAACTAGAGGAATCATATTACCTAACTTTAAATTATACTACAGAGCTATAGTCATGAAAACAGCATGATTTTTTCTTCTTTTCTTTTTTTTTTAAAGACATGTAGAAAAAGAGAACAGGATAGAGAACTCAAAAACAAATTTACTAACTTACAGTTAACTCATTTTTTGACAAAGGTGCCAAAAACATACACTGGGGAAAAAACAGCCTCTTTAATCAATGGTGCTGGGGAAACTGAATATCCATATGCAGCAGATTTAAGCTAGACCTTTATTTCATGCCATATATAAAAATCGAATCAAAATCAATGAAAAACCTAAATCTAAGACATCAAATTGTGAAACTACTACAAGAAAACATTGGAGAAACTCTCCAGGACATTGGACTGGGCAAAAGTTTCTTGAGCAATACCCCACAAGCACAGACAAACAAAGCAAAAATGGACAAATTGGATTACATCAACTTAAAAAGTTCCTGAACAGTAAAGAAAAAAATCAACAAAGTGAAGCAACAACCTACAGAACGGCAGAAAATATTTGCAAACTCTCCATTTGACAAGGGATTAATAACCAGAATATATAAGAAGCTCAAAGAAGTCTATAGGAAATGAAATCTAATAATCAGATTTAAAAATGGGCAAAAGAAGTGAACACATATTTCTCAAAATAAGACTTACAAGCGACAAACAGTCATGGGAAAAGGGGCTCTATACTATTTTTTCATAACAGAATTGATAATCAAAACTACAATGAGATGTAATTTCACCACAGTTGAAATGGCTCATATCAAAAAGACAGGCTACAAAGCTGGTAAGAATGTGTATAAAAGGGAACCTACTTACACTGTTGGTGGGAATGTGCATTACTACAACCACTATGAGAACTGTTTAGAGTTTCCTCAAAAAAGTAAAATTACAGCTACTGTTATTTAGCAATCCCATTCCTATGTATATAACAAAAGAAAAGGAAATCAGTATACTGAATAGGTATCTGCATTTCTAATTTTGTTGCAGCACTGTTTAGAATAGCCAAGATTTGGAAGCAACCTAAGTGTTCATTAGCAGATGAATGAATAAAGAAAATGTGGCATATGTACACAATGGAGTACTATTCAGCCATAAAAAATGAGATCTTGTCATTTGTCACAACATGGATGGAATTGGAGATCATTATGTTAAATAAAATGCACCATGTACAGAAAAACAAACATTACATATTTTCACTTATTTGTAGGTTCTAAAAGTCAAAACAACTAATCTCATGGACATAGAGTAGACGTATGGTTACCAGAGGCTGGAAAGGGTAGTAAGGAGCTGGGAAAGAGGTGGGGATGGTTAATGGGCACAAAAAAATAGTAAGAATGAATAAGAAATAATATTTCATCATACACCAGGGTGACTACAGTCAATGGTTACTTAATTGTACAGTTTAAAATAACTTTTAAAATGTGATTGCATTGATTGTAACAAAGAGAATAAATGCTTAAGGGGATGTATATCACGTTCTCCATGATATAATTATTTTATATTGCATCCTTGTGTTAAAAATGTCTCATACACCCCACAAATATATACACCTAAAAAATAAAAAATGAAATAAAAAGTAAAAACAAAAAAAAAACAATAACCAAGTTTTGAAAGCAGCCTAAGTGTCCATCAAAAGATGAATGAAGAAAACACGGTACATATACATAATGAAGTACTATTCAGCCATAAAAAAAAAAAATTCTGTCATTTGCAATTACATGGATTGAACTGGAGGTCACTATATTCAGTGAACTAAGATAGGCAAAAAAATGACAAGTTTCTCATGTTCTCACTTGGTTTGTTGGAACTAAAAATTAAAACAATTTATTTCATGGCTATAGAGGGTATAATGATGGTAACAAGAGACTGGGAAGGATAGTTAGTGGGTGGGGAGATTGTGGATGTTTAATGTGTACAAAACTATAATTAGATAGAATAAGATCTAGTATTATGTAACTAACCTGCATGTTTTGCACATGTACCCTAAAACTTAAAGTATAATAATAAAAAAAAATCTAGTATTTGATAGCACAAGAAGGTGACTACTGGTCAACAATAATTTATTGTGCATATTAAAATAACTAAAAGAGTACAATTAAATAATTAATAACACAAAGGAATGGCAAATGCTTGAGGTGATGGATATCTCATTTACAATGATGTGATTATTATTCATTGTATTCCTTCATAAATATATCGCATTTATCCTGCTGTGATTATTATTAATTGTATTCCTTTATAAATATATCTCATTATATACCTGCTATGTACACATAAAAATTAGAAATATAAAATAATTTAAAAATAGTTAAGACTTTATATAAAATCATAATAGATAGAATGAGGCAGAAAATTAACAACAGAAGACCTGAATTAGTAAATTAGCTTAATGTGCTACATCCCAAGTAAAATTTCAGATTTTACAAGGGTTTAAACAATGGAATATACTCCAATTATTGGCCTTTTAGATAATGCAAGACAAAATACCAGGGTTTATTTTACTCTGAAATAGATTTGCCACATTTTAGACAATTTTCTAGTTTTCTCTTCTACTAGTTTCTACAATAGCCAACGACAGTCAAACTTGACAACTTTATTGTCCCCAAACCAAGCCTTAACTTTACCACTACTGTATCTGTGTTCATACTGAGCTCAGTACTTAAACTTCTTTCCTCTCAATGAACAGCCATTGAAATCATATCCATTCTCACAGGTCCATCTCAACAGCTCTCTCATGCAAGAGCCTCCCTTAAGCATCTCCACAATAAAGTCATAGATTCAAAGGTTTGGTGTGAGATTTGGAGGTCAAACTCCTCTTTCTAATTGTAAAAAAAAAAAAAAAGAAAAGAAAAGAAAAAATGTAATTTTTACTCCCTTGAGTCACTTTTAGTTCTTATTCTTATTACACCGTATCTACTAAATCATACACATATGCTCTCAACTTATGATGAGGTTACTTCTCCATAAGCCCAACATATGTTGAAAATATTGTAAGTAAACTTGCATTTTTGACTTATGATATATTTTTGGCTTACAATGGGTTTATATGCATGTAAACCCACTGTAAGGTTAGGAGCATATCAAATTCAAATCACTTTCATAGCATTATATAGTTGAAAAATTGTAAGTCAAACCACCATAAGTCGAGGACTTTCTGTACTTCGAAGCGTATGAAAATGTGCCCTTCTTATGTCTGTATCTTGAACAACACTTAGCACTGTCCCTTGTGCTTAAAACTGGTAAAAATAAACACTGGTGAAAATAAGCAATTGAATTAATATATAAATTAATGTGAACATTGTACACTGGAAAAGCAAGAGATTATAAGGAGAACAGTGTGGCAGCTTCTGAAGTTACAACATGTGACAAAATCTGAAATACTATATGAGATATGTCTTTTATTGTATCCCCTATGTATCTATGAAACTTTATTTCGTAGCAGAATTGAATCTGTTATATAAGTTTGAAAAATGATACTATTGCTATTACTGTGATCCATGATTGTGGAATGCCTTACAGACATTTACAAAATACACTGCTATGCTAGGCCTTGATGAATTTGAATTTCATTGTAGAAGAAGAGAGAATTTATAAAGAATGAAATCTACCTTAACTTGAATGACAATATTTGAGGTATTTTAAATGAGCATTTAATCAAAATTTAGTCAAGTGATAATATGGTAATTAAATATCCATTGTTTGCAGAAGGCCTCAGATTGAGTTTAATAAGCACATGAAAGATAGAAGTCTGGTTACCATGAGCTCCCTGCATAAAGAAACAGACTGTGTTAAGAAAGGCATAATTGATTTAAAAAGCAACACTAGAGTTGTGACTCAAGCTAATCCAATCTACTGCATTCTATTCACAAGGCAAATATCATCCTCTATTTCTGAGTTGTAAAATGAAACTACTTTATTGCAGCTATTTGTAGCTTCTTTACATTTCTTGTTTTATTAGGGAGCTTCAGAATATATAAAAACCTAAAACATACTATGAAATTACGTGTCACAATTGCTCCAAAGACAGAGCACTTATTAGGATAAATAGAATGTCTATAAAATTTGATGACTGAGGCTTTGCTTCCCACTTTTCCTTTTTAAAAAGAGCTTCATTACCTCTATTTTCACTTTTGTTTTTAATTTTTGTGGGTACATAGTATATATATATATTATATATATATATATATGCAGTACACGAGATATTTTGATACAAGAATACAATGCATAATAATAACATCAGTGTGAATGGGGTATCATCACCACAAGCATTTACCATTTTTTTGTTACTAACATTCCAATTATACTCCTTTAGTTATTTTAAAATGCACAACAACAAAAATATTGTTGACAGTAGTCATCCTCCTGTGTTATCTAGATTTTATTTATTCTACCTAACAATATTTTTGTATCCATTAACCATCCCTATTTTCCCTACCTCACATTACCCTTTCTAGCCTCTGGTAACCATCCTTCTACTGTATATCTCCATGAGTTCATTTTTTTTTCCTGTAATTTAGATCCCACAAGTGTGTGAGAACATGCAAAGTTTATCTTTCTGTATTTGACTTATTTTACTCAATGTAATAACTACTAGTTCCATCCATGTTGTTACAAATAACAGAATCTTGTGCTTTTTTATAGCTAAGTAGAATTTCATTTTGTATATGCAACACATTTTATTTATCCGTTTATCTGTTAATGAACATTTAGGATGCTTCCAAATCTGGACTATTGTGAATAGTGCTGCAATAAACTTAAGAGTGCAAATATCCCTTCACTATAGTGATTTCCTATATAGAGGGTATATACCTAACTATGGGATTACAAGATCATATGGTAGCTCTATTCTTAGTTTTTTGAAGAATCTCCAAACTGTTCTCCATAGTGGTTGTACTAATTTACATCTCCAACAACAGTGTACAAAGATTCCCTTTTCTTCGCTTCTTTGCCAGCATTTGTTATTGTCTGTCTTTTGGACATAAGCCATTTCAACTGGGGTGAGATGATATCTCATTATAGCTTTGATTTGCATGTATCTGATGATCAGTGATGTTTAGCACCTTATCATATGTCTTTTTGTCATTTGTATGTCTTTTATTTTGAGAAATGTCTATTCAGATCTTTTTCTTTTTTATGTCAAATTCTTAGATTTTTTCCTACAGAGTTGTTTGAGCTCCTTATATATTCTGGTTATTAATTCTTTGTCAAATGAATAATTTGCGAATATTTTCTCTCATTCTGTGAGTTTTCTCTTCACTTTGTTGATTGTTTCTTTTCCTGTGCAGAAGCTTTTTATCTTGATGTGATTCCATTTGTATATTTTTGCTTTGGTTGCCTGTGCTTTAAGAGTATTACTCAAACAAATCTTTGCCCAGACCAATGTCCTGGAGATCCCCAAATTTTTCTTTTTGTAGCTTCATAGTTTGTGAGCTTAAATATAACTCATTAATACACTTTGTTTTGTCTTTCATATATTGTGAGAAATGTGGGTCTAACTTTATTCTTCTGCATATGGATATCCTGTTTTCCCAGCACCAATTATTGAAGAAACTGTACTTTCTTCAATTAATGTTCTTTGCGTCTCTGTGGAATGTAAGTTCACTGTAGATGTGTGGATTTATTTAGGGGTACTATTCTGTTTCATTGTTCTATGTGTCTCTTTTTTGCCAATACAATCCTGTTTTGGATACTAGAGATATGTAGTATAATTTGAAGTTAGGAAATGTGGTTCCTCCAGTTTGTTATTTTTGCTCAAAATTACTGACTATTCTAAGTCTTTTGTAATGTCATATAAATTTTAGGACTTTTTTTTATTTCCATGAAGAACATCATTGGTATTTTGATAGAGATTGCACTGAATCTGTAGATTGCTTTTGGTGGTATGGACAGTTTAACAATATTGATTTTTTCAATTCGTGAACATGAAATATCTTTCTATGTTTGTGTCTTATTCAATTTTTTGAAGAACTATTGTATAATTTTTTATCTTAGAGATCTTTCATGTCTTTGGTTAATTCCTACATATTTTATTTTACTGGTAGCTATTATAAATAAGATTCCTTTATTGATTTCTTTTCAGATTGTTCACTGTTGGCATATAGAAATGATACTAATTTTTATGTTGATTTTGTCACCTACAATTTTACTGAATTTATCAGTTCTAATATTTTGTGAAACATGTAGCTTTTTCTAAATATGATATCATGTCATCAGCAAACAAGAATAATTTCACTTCTTTCTTTTTAATTTGGTGCCCTTCATTGCTTTATCCTCTCTAATTGCTCTACCTAGAACTCCCAGTATTATGTTTAATAATGGTTGCAAAAGGGGGCATCCTTATTCTGCTCCCAATCTTAGAGGAAAGGTTTTCAGCTTTTTCCCATGCAATATGGTACTGTTGGTCTGTCATATATGGTTTTTATTACGTTGAGATATATGCTTTCTGTACCCGGTTTTTTTTAACTTTTATTTTAAGTTCGGGGTGCATGTGCAGGTTTCTTACATACGTAAACTGGTGTCATGCGGGTTTGCTGTACAGATTATTTCACCACCCAGGTATTAAGCCTAGTACCCATTAGTTATTTTTCCTGATCTTCTCCTTCCTTCCATCCTACACTCTCCAATAGGCTCCGGTGTGTGTTGTTCCCCTCTACGTGTGCATGCGTTGTCATTATTTAGCTCCCTCTTATAAGTGAGAACACACAGTGTTTGATTTTCTGTTCTCACATTAATTTGCTAAGGGTGGTGGCCTCCAGCTCCATCTGTGCCCCTGCAAAGGACATGATCTTGTTCTTTCTAGAGAAAAAAAACATATGATTATCTCCATAGATGCAGAATAGGATTTCAATATACCCAGTTTTTTTAAGTTTTTATCATAAAAATTGTTGAATTTTATTTAATGCCTTTTTAGTATCAATTGAAATAATCACATGGTTTTCGTTTATTCTCTTCCTATAATGTATTAATATCACATTAATTGATTTGTGTGTGTTGAATCATCCTTGCATTCTAGGATACATCTCACTTTGCCACGAATGGCCTTTTTTTAATATGTTTAATTAAGTTTACTATAACAGTATTTTGTTTAAGATTTTTGCTTCAGTATTTATTGTTGATATTGCTCTATAGTTTTTTTTTTTCTCATGTATCTTTATCTGGTTTTGGTATTAGAATAATACTGGCCTCAAATAATGAGTTTGGATGTATCTCCTCCTCCTTTTTTTTTGGAATAGTTTGAGCAGGATTGGTATTAGTTCTTCCTTAAATATTTAGGGGAGTTCAGCTGTGAATCCATCAGGTCTTGGGCTTATTTCTTTTTTGGCCAGAGTAGTTTTTATTATGGCTTCAGTCACATTACTTTTTATTAGTCTGTTCAGGTTTTGGATGTCTTTATGGTTTAATCTTGGTAGATTGTAAGTGTCTTGGAATTTACTCATTTCTTCTTGATTTTTCTATTTATTGGCAGAGAGTTGCTCATAATAGCCACTAGTGATACTTTGAATTCCTGTGGTATCAGTTTTAATGTCTTTTTTTTCCCTAATTATTTTTTAATTTTGGTCTTTTGGTTGTTTTTGTTTTTGTTTTAGCCTGTCCAAAGGTTTGTCAATTTTTTTCATTCAATAAAACATTTGTTTCGTTAATCTTTTGTATGGTTTTCTTTATTTATTTCTTTTCTAAGCTTTATTATTTTTTTCTACTAATCTTGGAGATGGAGTTTCACTTTTGTCACCCAGGCTGGAGTGCAATGATGCGATCTCTGCTCACTACAACCTCCGCCTCCCGGGTTCAAGTGATTCTCCTGCCTCAGCCTCCTGAGTAGCTGGGATTACAGGTGCCCGCCACCACACCTGGCTAATTTTTTGGGGTATTTTTGGTAGAGAGGGGGTTTCATCATGTTGGCCAGGCTGGTCTTCAACTGCTGATCTCAGATGATCCACCCTCCTCGGCCTCCCAAAGTCCTGGGGTTACAGGTGTGAGCCACCCTGCCTGGTCAGCTTTACTAATTCTTTAAGATGCAATGTTAGCTTGTTTATTTGAAGTTATTCTTCTTTTTCAATGGAGACACATATAACTGCAAACCTTCCTGTTAATATTACTTTTGGTATATGCCATAAATTTTGCTTTGTTGTGTTTCATTATCATTTGTTTCAGAAATTTTTCAATATTCTTAATTTATTCATTGACCCACTGGTCAGGCAGGAGCACATTGTTTAATTTCCATGTGTTTGAATATTTTCCAAAGTTTCTCCTGTCTTTGATTTCTAGTTTTATTCTATTGTGGTCACAGGAGATGCTTGATATTATTTCAATTTTTCTGAATGTTTTAAGACTTGTTTTTATGGCCTAACATATAGCCTATCTTTGAGAATTATCCATGTGCTGAGAAAAAAAATGTGTATTCTGCAGGCATTGGATGAAATGTTCTGAAAATATATATTAGGTCCATATGGTCTATAGTGCAAATTAAATCTAATGCTTTTTTGTTGATTTTCTGTATGGATGATCTGTCCAATGCTGAAGGTGGGGCATTGAAATCTCAAGCTGTTATTGTATTGGGGTCTATCTCTCTCTTTAGGTTTAATAGTATTTGCTTTATATAGCTGAGTGCTCCATTGTTGGGTGCATATATATTTACAATTATTATAGCTTGTTGCAGAATTGACCCCTTTATCATTACATAATAACCTTTCTTGTCCATTTTTATAGTTTTTGCCTTAAAATCCGTTTTGTCTTATATAACTACTTCAGCTCTTTTTTTATTTCTATGGCATGAAATATATTTTTCCATCACTTTATTTTTATTATGTGTGTCTTTATAGGTGAAGGGTGTTTCTTGTAGGCAATAGATCAATCAGTCTTGTTTTTTCATCCATTCAGGCAGTCTATGTCTTTTGATTGGAGGGTTTAGTCCATTTACATTTTATGTTATTATGCATAAATAAGAACCTAATCCTGCCATAATATTATTTGTTTTCTAGTTGTTTTGTGGTCTTCTCTTACTTCTATCTTTTTCTTCACTTTCATGAAGTTATTTTCTCTGGTGATATGTTCTAACTTTTTTTATGTGTGTATCTATTGTTTGTTTTTAAATTTGATGTTACCATGAGGCTTGCAAGTGATATCTTATAATCCACTATTTTGAAATGATGAAAACTCAACACTGATTGCAAAAGCACAGTAAAAAACAAGCTAATAGAAAACTAATAAAAGCTGTATACTTTAACTATGTCTCCACACTTCTTAACTTTTTGTTGCTTCCATTTATATCTGATTTCATAGTCTATGTCTTGAGAAATGTTTGTAGTCATTATTTTTATTGGTTTGTGTTTTTGTATTTCTATTTAAAATATTAGTAGTTTACACACAATCATTATGGTGTTATAATATTCTGTATTTTTTGTTGTACCTATTGAGCGAGTTTTGTAACTTTAGATGATTTCTTATTGCTCATTAATGTCTTTACTTTTCAAATTGAAGAACTTCCTTTAGCAGTTCTTGTAGGACAGGTCTTGTATCCTAAAATTCTACAGTTTTTTTTGATCTTACAAAGTATTTATTTGTTTTTTCACATTTGATGAATATTTTCACTGGTTGTACTGTTCTATGATGATTTTTTTCTTCAACAATTTAAATATTTTATACTACTTTCTCCTGGTCTTTAAGGTTTTCAGTGAGAAGTCTGCTGCCAGAAGTAGGAGCTCTATTGTATGTAATTATTTTTTCTATTGCTGCTTTTAGGATCCTTTATTTATTCTTGACCTTTGAAAGTTTGATTATTAAATGCGTTGGAATAATCTTCTTTGGGGGGTAAATCTGTTTGGTGTTCTATAGCCCTCTTGTAATTAAGTCTTTATATATTTCTCTAGGTTTGGGAAGTTCTCTGTTATGTTACTTTGAATGAACTTTCTACTCCACTTTCTCTCTCTACCTTGCCTTTAAGACAAATAATTCGGATTTGCCCTTTTGATGCTATTTTCTAAACTTTTCTTCATATATTTGTCACTTATTCTTTTATCTCCTCTGATTGTGTGTCTTCAAATATACTGTCTTAAAGCTCACTAATTTTTTTCTGCTTGTTTAATCCTGCTGTTGAGAGACTCTGATGGATTCTCCAGTGTCTCAGTTGCATTTTTCAACTCCAGAAATTTTTTACTTAATTTTTAAAAATTATTTAAATTTATTTGTTAAATTTACTTGATAGGATTCTAGATTCCTTTCCTGTGTTACCTGGAATTTCTCTGAGTTTCATTAAAACTGCTAATTTGAATTCTCTCTGTGAAAAGTTACATATCTGTCTCTCTGGGATTTGTCCCTGGTGCCTTATGTAGTTCACTTGATGCAGTCATGTTTTCCCAGATGGTCTTGATGTTTGTGGATGCTCATTGATGTCTGGGCATTGAGGAATTAAGCATTTATGGTAATCATTGCAATCTGAGCCTGTTTATGCCCATCCTTGTTAAAAAGGTTTTCCAGGTATTCAAAATAACTTTAAGGTTGTGATCTAAATCTTTGGTCATGATAGTTATATCTGCATTGGGGTGCACCCCAAGCCCTGTGAGTCTTGCACAGTTGTATATGTTCTACCTTGAGGATCTTTGATAAGATCCAGAAGATTTCTCTGAATTAACAGAGATTCTTAACCTTTTTCCTTACTTTCTCTCAAGCAAAAGGATTGTCTCTTTCTGTGATGAGCTGCCTGGAGCTAGAAGAGGTGTGACACAGGCACCCATTTTGTCACCACCACTGGGACTCTGCTGGGTCAGACTCAAAGCCAACATAGCACTGGGTCTTTCCCAAGGGGTGCTGCTACCACTACTGGGCTAATACCTAAAGTGTGCTCAAGGCCCTAGGGCTCTACAACCAGCAGGTAGTAAAACCAGCCTATCTTGCATTCTTTCCTTCAGGGCAGTGAGTTCCCATAGGCCCTGGGCAGATCCAGTGATGCTGCCTGTGACCCAGGGCATGAAGTCAGAAAACTTGGAAATCTATCTGGTGTGCTATTCTATTGTGTCTCAGCTAGAACTGAAACCACAAGACAAAGTCCTTCCTATTCTTCCCTCCCTCTTTCCCTGGAAGAGGAGTTTTTCCCCATGTCCACAATCACCACAGTCCCACTGGGTATACTCCCAGAGTACCAGCAATGTTCACTTAAGTGTCAAGGGCTCTTTAGTCAGCTTGTGGTGAATGTGGCAGTCCATTTTTACACTGCTGATAAAGACATACCCGAGACAGAGTAATTTACCAAAAAAAAAAAAAAAAAAAAAAAGAAAAAAGAGAGGTGTATTGGACTTACAGTTCCATGTGGCTGGGCAGACCTCACAATTATGGTGGAAGATGAAAGACATGTCTCACATGGAGGGAGACAAGAGAAGAGAACTAGTGCAGGGAAACTCCCATTTTTATATAACCATCAGATATCCAGAGCCTTATTGACTATTACGAGAACAACACAAAAAAGACCTGCTTCAATGATTCAATTGCCTTCCACTGGGTCCCTCCCACAATATGTGAGAATTTAAGATGAGATTTGGGAGGAGACAGAGCCAAACCATATCATTCCACCCCTGGCCCCTCCCAAATCTCATGTGTTCACATTTCAAAACCAATCATGCCTTCCCAACAGTCCTCCAAAGTTTTAACTCATTTCAGCATTAACTCAAAAGTCCACAGTCCAAAGTCTCATGCAAGACAAGGCAAGTGCCTTCTGCCTATGAGCCTATATAATGAAAAGTAAGTTAGTTATTTCCTTGATACAGTGGGGGTAAAAGCATTGGGTAAATACAGCACTTTCGTATGGGAGAAATTGGCCAAAAGAAAGTGGCTACAGGCCCCATCCACGTCTGAAATCAAGCACGGCAGTCCAATCTTAAAACTCCAAAATGATCTCGTTTGACTCCATGTTTCACATCAAGGTCATGCTGATGCAAGTGGTGAGCTCCCAGGGTATAGTCCTCCCCAACCTCCACCGGCTGCTTTCACAGGCTAGCACTGAGTGTCTGCAGCTTTTCTAGGTGCACAGTCCAAGCTGTCAGTGGATCCACCTTTCTGGGGTCTGGATGGTGGTGGCCCTCTTTTCACAGGTCCATAAGGCAGTGCCCCAGTAGGGACTCTGTATCAGGGCTCAGACCCCACATTTCCTTTCTGCACTTCCCTAGCAGAAGTTCTCCATGAGGGCCCTGCCCCTGCAGCAAACTTCTGCCTGGGCATTCAGGCATTTCCATACATCTTCTGAAATCTAGGCAGAGGTTCCCAAAACTCAATTCTTGACTTCCATGTACCCGCAGGCTCAACACCACATGGAAACTGCCAAGGCCTGGGGTTTTCACTCTCTGAAACAACAGCTCGAGCTGTACCTTGGCCCCTTTTAGCCATGGCTGGAGCAGCTGAAACATAGGGTACCAAGTCCCTAGGCCACACAGAGCAAGGGATCCATGGGTCTGGCCCAGGAAACCACCTTTTCTTCCTAGGCCTCCAGGCCTGTGATGGGAGGGGCTGCTCTAAAGACCTCTGCAATGCCCTGGAGACATTTTCCCCCTTGCCTTAGAGAATAAGATTTGGTTATTTGTTACTTATGCAAATTTCTGCATTTGGCTTGAATTTCTCCTCAGAAAATGGCATTTTCTTTTCTAGCCCTTTGTCAGGCTGCAAATTTTCTCAATTTTTATGCTCTGTTTCTCTTTTAAAACTGAATGCCTTTAAGAGCACCCAAGTCACATCTTGAATGTTTTACTGCTTAAAAATTTCTTCCACCAGATACCCTAAATCATCTCTCTCAAGTTCAAAGTTCCACAAATCTCTGTGTCAGTGGCAAAATGCCAGCAGTCTCTTTGCCTAAACATAACAAGAGTCACCTTTGCTCTAGTTCCCAACAAGTTCCTCATCTCCATCTGAGGCCACCTCAGCCTGGACCTGATTGTCAATATCATTATCAGCATTTTGGGCAAAGCCATTCAACAAGTCTCTAGGAAGTTCCAAACTTTTGCACATTTTTCTGTTTTCTTCTGAGCCCTCCAAACTGTTCCAACCTCTGCCTGTTACCCAGTTTCAAAGTCGCTTCCATATTTTCCGGAATCTTTTCAGCTGTGCGCCACTCTACTGGTACCCATTTACTGTATTAGTCCATTTTTGTGCTGCTGATAAAGATATACCCAAGACTAAGCAATTTACAAAAAAGAAAAAAAGAAGAGATTTATTGGACTTAGAGTTCCACGTGACATCACTGGAGAAGCTTCACAATCAATCATGGTGAAAGGTACGTCTTACATGACTGTAGACAAGAGAAGAGAACTTATGCAGAGAAACTTCCATTTTTATGTAGACATCAGATCTCGTGAAACTTATTCACTATTACGAAAACAGCACAGGAAAGTCCTGCCCCAATGATTCAATTACCTCCCACTGGGTCCCTCCCACAACATGTGAGAATTCCTTGCTATACCTACCTATATTACCTTCAAACACATGTCAATTCAGTGCTCAGAGCCATTAGTTATATTTTTTCTCTTCTCTCCTAGCCATATTTGTGCCCAGCACCTTTATTCATATTAAGATTAGGAAGTATTGAGAAATGGATAACTACCATTTGAATAGGAAACCTCTTAAACTAAGAGATAAAATGTTTCTCATATCATTTCAGATATCAGTTAATGGAAGTAGTTAAAAGATGGGCATTGGTTAAACCATTGTTGCCCTTAAAATCATGCTCATTATGTCACTCTTTACTTCTGCAATGAGAGAAATTTCTAATATAGAAATTTTCCTTTGAAATCTTCAGGTCCCAAGTAACTTGAAAAGTAGGCATCCTATTCCAGGGTAACTCAAACAATTTAATTCTCTCAATTTAACAAAACCAAGATAAAATTATCATATTCTTTAGATTTGTGAGCTGAAGTTACCACTTGAAATTCTTTGAAATGAAGATGAAAAAGAGAAAAAATGATTGCTGGGGGGGATGTTTCAATTTGAAGGTATTAAAGTAAAATAATAATAGGGTGAACTCAAATTTATAAGTTAGGTTATTATTAACTCAACGATAGCCTTCCTTGCTAAAGAAAATTTAAGATAATGTGTTGCTTTTAGTTGTCATTTTTCTTTAACCTACTTTATCTAGAAACTTTTTTTTTGTCTTTTATTACACTAAATTTTTAAAGTAATTCAGGCCAGTTTTGTAGAAAGTCCTTCAATTTGAGTTTGAGCATTCTTTATAATGAGATTCAGATTATGATTTTTGCAGAAATACTACAGAAATTATCATGTGCCCCTTAAACCACCATTGCAAAAAACTGAGATGATGAAAAAGATCTGACCTAACCAACTCAATCTTGTTTTTAAACTCCAAGCTGTCCTTGTTCATTTTGGGGCATAGGCTGAACTAAATTTGGGAGAAACTTATATAACTATAAGTTTATAGTTTATATAACTATAAACTATAGTTTATAGTTGAGCTTTGAAACAAAGATGATAACAGCCCTTTTCCAAAACAAACCCCCTTCCTGCCTGGGAACTAGACTGCCTTTGCAGGACTAACAAATTAGCCAGATGATTAGAAATTACAATTTAGGAGTCATGAAAATGGAGGCTGCAAGATTCTAAACCTTCCCAAATTGCTCCTGGGAATAACATCACTATTGTAAAACCTAAGACCAGTGCTTGAGATATTTTGCAGACCCTGCACTTGATGGATCACCTGGCACCATCCAGATCAATAAACTGGCCCATCTGGTCTTGTGGTCCCCACCCAATAACTGATTTAGCACAAGAGGACAGCTTTGACTTCCTATTACTTCATTTGTGACCCAATCAATTAGCACACCTGACTCACTGGCCCTCTACCCACCAAATTATCCTTAAAAACTCCAATCCCAGAGTTTGAGGGGAGACTGATTCGAGAAATAATAAAACTTCTGTCTCCCGCACAGCTGGCTCTGCATGAATTACTCTTTCTCTCTTGCAACTCCTATGTCTTCATAAATTGGCTTTCTTAGCAATGGGCAAGGTGAATGAATTGGGCCATTCTAAGCCCTTCTCAGTGGACCATAGAGGGGACATATGATATTTGCATGTTCTACTACTGATGAGAAAATATTATATCACTTAGTCAAAGTGATTTCTGCTAGGGTTCTCCGCTGTAGTTATTGTTTTTACCTTCATTATTATCTTATGGAGAGATAATTTGATACCATGTGAATATCCTATTTCTAATTGTGATATAAGAAAAAATATATTTTTAATTTCTTTCTTTGTATTTTAGTTTTAGAAGCTCTATATTCTGACATGAAGCTCCTAAAACCGCTGGGAATCTCTAAAGTGAAAGTGTCTTTTTGTATGCTAATGAGATGACTGAGGGCTGGGGGCTCAGAGACAGCCTCAGAATAAGAACTTGCTGCCAAAGAAACCAACCATAGAATTACAGTGTTAGAACTTTAGCCTCACCCCCAACCTGCAGGGAGGGAAGAGAAGCTGATTAACAGTGGTCAATGATTTGATTAATTATGCCTATGTAATAAATGCTTCATAAAAAGCTAAAAGGACAAGGTTTGAAGAGTTTCTGGATTGCAGAACATATGGAAGGTGGTGTGACTTGAGATAGCATGGAAACCCCATGCCCCTTCCTGTATAGGTTTTCCCATGCATCTTTTACTTTTTTCTGTTCCTGATTTGTATCTTTTTTATAATAGATGGGTAATTGCAAGCAAAGTTCTTTCTTGAGTTCTGTGAGCTACTCAGCCAAACGACCTAACCTGATGAGGGCATCGTGAGAACCCCCAATATATAGATGGTGGGTCAGAAGCACATTTATCAACCTGGAATTGCTATTAGCATCTGAATTTGGGGCAGTCTTGTGAAATCCATGTGGTCTGTTTTAACTTGGGTTAATGTCATAATTGAATTTAATTGTAGGACACCCATCTGGTATCAGAAAATTTTTGGTAGGTTAAAAAATACACATGTGATTTCAAAAGTATAGTGTTATATGTGGAGGATATAGTAGGTGGTGAACCTAAATTACTTGACAGGTCTCAGTCAATTTATAAAGTTTATTTTGCCATGGTTAAAGACATGCCCATTGAAACAGCCTCAAGAGGTCCTGATGACATGTGCCCAAGGTGGCCGGGGCACAACTTGGTTTTATACATTTTAGGGAGACATGAGACATCAATCAATATGTGTACATTGGTTCAGTGTGGAAAGGCGAGACAGGCAGGGCAACTTGAAGCAAGGAGGGGGGCTTCCAGGTCAAAAGTAGATAAGAGAAAAATGGTTGCATATTCTTAAGTTTCTGATTAGCTTTTCACTAAGTACACAATTTTCATGTAAGAGGAAAATAAAGGAATGGTCACTTATGCTTTGGTCTATTATTAAAACAATAGGGCAGAGGAAGCAATCATATATGTATTTTTCTCACGTGAGCAGAAGAATGACTAAGTTATTTGTTCACAAAGAATTTTCTTGTGGGGAAATTGTGAGGGAGGTATGTAGCTTTCGAATTTTTGTGGCTGTCTTAATTAGGAATAAAATGGGAGGCAGATTTGCCTAATGCGGTTTCTAGCTTGTCTTCCTTTTGGCTTAGTGGTTTTTGGGTCTTGAGATATATTTTCCTTTGACAAGGTAAAAACTGTTTTGATTTGTTTTTTACCTATACATAACTTACCATACCTTCATGCCATAGTTTTAGCATCCATTCCCGATTCTTGCCTGAGACAATTTTTGTCTAAATATTACAAGACCCTAGCCTGAGGATGGGAAAACTCGAAGAGGTCCTTTGACATTGCCTGTCCAAACGAGTGAGAACTGTCTCAAAAATACTGAGGCAGCACTGTCCATGTTAACTGGGCAATTTGGCCAGAGTGGGGGGGTCTTTGAAGGCAACCAGGTGTTGAAAGTCAGGATGTAATGGTATATAGAAAAAGGCATTCTTTACATCCAGGACTGTGAACCATTTAATTCCCTCTGGTATTTGAGTCAGCAAGGTATAGGGATTAGAGACCACCAGATGAATTGTGACTATGGCCTCATTAATGAGGAGGAGGTCCTGAACTAGTCTCCATTCCTCATTGAGTTCTTGTACCCCTAATATTGGGGCATTGCAGGGGCTGTTACAGGATTTGAGAAGGCCCTGCATTTTTAGGTCATTAATAATTGCTTCTAACCCTTTCCTAACCTCTGGCTTTAGGGGATATTTTCTCTGGTTAGGAAAAGAAGTGGGATCCTTAAGGTGAATTCAGACTGGCCTAGTAGCTATAGCTCAACCTATTCTTCCTTGCGTTGTCCACACTTCTGGATTAATATTAATTTCCACCAGGTGGAGACAGAGTTTGTCCTGGGCTTATAAGGATACTGGCTCCCATGCAAGCTAAAATGTTTCTATCCAATAAAGGAGTGGGACTTTCAGGCATAATTAAGAAGTCATGTGTAAATAATAGGTCCTCACAACTACGACTAAAGGGTTGAGAAAAATATTGGGTTATATATATATATATATATAACCCTATATATACATATAAATATATATATAAATATATATATATATTTTTTTTTTCTGAGATGCCCATCACAGTCGTGCTCAGGAAGAGGGGAGGCCTGGATTAGAAAGGAGAAAAGAGAGACTGGCTCCAGTGTCCAGAAAGAGAGATCCACCCTCTCATCAATTTTCCAGAATCACCCAGGGATTCTGAGCAGTAATGGCAGTTTTAGCCACTAGGGCCGGGAGTCTGAGCCCCGGGACCTGTCAATCCTGTTGGACCATCTGTGAGATTAGTTCTGGACCTGGTGACCTCTGTCTCCCAGGGCAGTCCAATCTCCAGTGGTCCCCGCAACAGGCTGGACAAGGTTAAGGTGGCTTCCTTTTGCTGCCTGGGCAATCTTTCTTAAAGTGCCCTGACTTGCCACATTGGTAGCAACTAGCAGATGCACCTCAGGGATCCTGGAACTTGCAAGCCTGTAATGCAGCCACTAGAGCCTCTGTCTTTCTAATGTGTTTTCTCTCTTTCTCCTGGGCCTCCTCTTTGTCCCTCAAGAGGTTTTCCAACGTGCTGTCTGGCCCTATAGCCTGCTTCTGCAGTTTCATTCTAATATTGGGAGCTGCCTGTGTAATAATTTGTCCTTTAGGATTAGCAGTCCCTCAACTGAGTCAGGGGATAGGGAGGTGTGTTTCATTAGTGCCTCTCTCAGCCTTTCCCTAAATGCAGCGGGATTCTCATCTGCCTTTTGGTCTATCATAGACAACTAGAGTAATTAAGAGGTTTGGCCCTAGTTCTTTTCAGGTCCTCCAATATGCACATTAAAAAGTGTTTCCTTTTCTATTAATCTGTGGAATCACTGGGGTTCCAATCTGGGTTGTCAAGAGGTACAGCCTCTCTTCCTATTGGGAATCATAATTCGCCTATTTTTTCACCTTCCCTATTTTTTCTTTTCCTTTTTTGCCTATTATAGGAGACATATTGCTCATCTTCAAATTTGTCTGCTGCCTGCAGATCTGCCTGTTTTTTTAGCAACTGTTAGGGTTTGGCTTAGGAGCAGCATAACATCCTTCTATGGGAGGTCAAACACCTGAGATAAATTTTGGAAAGATTCTATATACCTATCAGGGTTGTCAGAAAATTGGCCTAAGTCTCCTTTTATTTACCTGAGGTCCTGCAATGAGAAGGGAACTTGAACCCTAGTGGCATCACTTCGATTGTGCATTTCTTGTAGGGGTAAGAGTAAAGCTGTGGGAGTGGGGAGTTTTGGTGATGGTGGAACTGGAGGAGCTGATGGCGTGTTTGGAGGGGATAATCAATAGCTGCCTCAGATGTCTCACTCATAATTTGCTTCCTTAGTTCTGGGCAATTATTCCCTATGGGCCTGCCTGACATGACCGCTAGAAGAGCTGGGTTGATTGTGCAATACTTGCAAAGGTCTAGTAAGAAGGCCATGCCCTTGTGCAAAAGCAGAGTTTCAGGGTCGAATGAGTCTCAGTGTTTCACAATACACTTGAGAGGGGTGCAGGCTGAGATGGCTAGAAATATAGGGGAGACAAGTCAGCCCTCATTCCCCTTCTTTATTTGGAATGGCCCGAGATAAAGAGGAAGAGAGTGGGAGCATCCGCCAAACTGTTTTTCCTCCTTGGTTCCCTGGGACCCAACATTCATTAAAGGTTCTGCCCATGGATGCAGGCATGACCCTCAGCCATGGATCCAGAGGTGCTAAGTGGTGGAATTAGTCACACTTGGCCATGCAACTCTAGTCCTCCACTGGTGCTTTCCTTTTGAATCCCTAGACTTGTGTGATCTGTGTGGCTCCCCATTAGATATATCTCAGGAAAGACTATGTAACAGTTGTATTTGGCAAGGGCCCTTAATCAAGGGAGTGTACTGGGTTGAGATCTATAATCTACTATTATAGCCTGGACTAAATTATTTATTTTTAGGCAGTGGTTCTGGTAAACTTCCACACACAAAATCCCCTTACTATTTAAGTATCATTGTAATTGGAGGCAGAATATGTGCCTTGAAAGAACTTAGAGACTGAGTGGCTTTTTTTCTGCTGATAGGACAGTATTGAGATTAAATTTGGTTTGGGAGGACATTTTCCTTCCCCCTTTTGAAGGCAGGGTTTTCCAATTCATGTAAGGGACATAAAGCCTGGTCTCTAGTAGAGAGACACAAAAAAGGAGGAGAATTGGGAAACTAGAAGTTTCTCGGTAAAGGACTGACAAGATGCCTCGTGGAGAGGATTTCTATTCTACTAGGTGGCACTGAAGGCCTTGAAATACCATGTGCTTTCCTGACAAAAGGTAAAGTGAGAGATGTTCACTGTTGGGGGGAGACCCTTTGTTTCCAGAAAATCACACACAATAATGGCATTTCCTTGAGCTACATTCCTGGTTACTATAACATTTGCTGATTTTGCCTAGCAGGATTATTTCCCTGAGCTGTAAAAATTTCTGCAGCATTGCATACAGAGAAGGGACAGTAAATGTAATGACCATGGAAGAAAAGGAGGAAAGTGTGATAGAAAAAGCTTGGAGATCCTGTTGCTGACATCCAATGGTAAGTTGGAGGCTGGGCTTAGCCCAGAAGCCTTCAGGTACCACAGAAGTGTGTAGCCCCAGCCAGGAATTTTCAGTTGCCACTGGACCTCTTCCAACCCCCACAAAGGCTAGGCTCTCTGTGAAAGAAAACCAGTTAGAAACAGAACCAACATTCCTGGCACCCTGAGGGCATTGGGGAATTTGCTAAGTCCTCCCCAGCAAGTCTGTCATCTGAGTCTTGAGAATAGTGGCCACCCTAAAGATCTCTTAAATGGCCATGAAACACCTGGTTGGGGTTTTATTTTAAAATTTAGGGCAGAGGGCCTCAAAATAAAAGTAAAGAGTTGGGGTCCACTCCCATATTCACCCTTCTGTTGAATCTGCCTTGGATCCTGAGGGATCTTACAATGAAACAGCCTCGATGTCTGGAGTAACACCTGAGATTCATTGTCTCACAGCCACAGAAAACAAGGATGCAGACACACAAAGAGTGAGGTTGAAAGTTGAAGTTTAATAGGTAAAAGAAAGAGAATAGCTCTCTGCTACAGAAAGGATACCAGAAAAATGGGTTGCCAAATTCACAGTGAAATGCAGGGTTTTTTATTGATGAGCTAGTGGGGAGATGATATCTGATCTCCGTAGGGCATGAAAAACTGGTTGGAACAGGTGTATCATTTGCACAGGGTGTGAATCTCTTGTAGCCCCCACCCTAAACTTTTCTTATACAGGTGGGTTCTCTGCCCGAGCTGTGCCATTTTGCCCCCCGTTTTTTTATTATTATTACTGTACATGTGGTAACAAAAAAAGGGAAGATGGAGCCTCCATGTTGGACATGTCTGGCCCCAAGTAACACTTGTCTATTGGTGTAGCTGCCAACATTCCTTCATGCAAGCTTCTAGCTTCCTTACTTATGTTTGCAGCTTGATTTTTCAGGCTGCACTTTGTTAGAAAAGAAATGATTTTGAAGACTGCTTTTTGTTAGAAGAGAAATTTTGCCAAGGACTCTTTTGCCCTCGCTATCTGCTTAAATAAATTCTTTCTACCTCCTGTATCATCTGCAGATGCCTGAGTGGCTGTTCTGCTGAAAGTCCACATATCTTTGTGTGTCAGAATGAATGCCCTGGTGGAGTGGGTTCATGAGGAGATCCCCTGACCCGACAGTAGCAAAGATCTGTGGGAGATGCGTGGGATCCTGGCGTCACACATTTACTCACTGCTTCCCTGGGCATGGGAAGTTTCCTTGACTCTGTGTCTTTCCTAGGTGGGCCATTGTCTTGCCTTGCTTTACTTTGTTCTCCATTGGTCAAGTTTTTTCCTTGATTTGTTTTAATGTGAGTACCTGGATGTTTCAGTTGAAGGTCCTGTATTTATTTACCTGTTCCATTTGTTTTTGTAAAAGCCATGCACACTAGCTGCTTCTAGTTGGCCATCTTGGCCAACTCCTTCCTGCAAAATTTACTTGCAAATGATTCAGAATAAATGGGTGTTTGCAGGTGTGAAGATGTATGTACATAGAGAATGAGAAAGATAAAGCAAACCAAGAAAAATTTTAACATTTGAATAATCTAGATAAAGTACATGTTGTACATTTTGGGAGCATTTTGCAACATCCTATAATTCTAAAATTATTTTAATTAAAAAAATTAAATGTAATAATGAACAGTGATTTATTGTTAATATGTATCTTAAATTTTGTAATTACACATGAATTCACATAACATTTTAAGTGAAATTCATTAACATATGGTACAACAAAAATAAGTCATAGTAATTCTATTGTAACTTCAACTTTTTGGTCTTCCTTTAAAAATATTAATGCAGTATAGTAAAACTTTCCCTAAGTTGTATATAATAGTAAGGATAGTAGTGATTTTCCATAATTATATCAGTTTTTTAATACATAATAACTCCATATGTAGTTATTATAGACTGCTAATAATGATTTTATAAATTTATATTGGAAATGGAATTTTTGTCTCTCTTTCCCTCTGCTTTTTTTCTTTCTTCTTTTACTTGGTTAGTAAACATTTACCGAACATGACCAACCACCCAAAAGTGTGTTAAATACAATTTGGGAAGTGGGCAGAGGGTGCAAAAATGGCACACAATGAACTGAAGGAAAAGAATGAAAAACTACAAAGTAAAGGTGATCATATATGTATGTGTGTATACCTTTGAAATGATTACTAACTTTCTAAATTAAAACCTCAAGTTGTCACTACAGGAAAATGGTGCTATCTTCAAATCTGCGAAGTCATTTGAAAAGATAATTGGAGAAAAATAAATATTATGTTTAGTTTACTATTTTTGAAAGTAATTTTGCATTTACTTTTCTATAAAGTACTATACTTATTACATACTGACTACATGAAAAGGCACTGTTAGGGCAATTTGGCAGACTTGATACTCTGAAGCCGTTTACAGAAGTATTTTATTTTAATTATCTGTGCGTTTTGATGGTGTTCCCTCTGAGGCAGACATTTCACTTTAGTGCATTTCAGGTATGTGAAGTGCAAAGGGGGCTTGTGAAGTCCAATCCATAGACAGGGAATAGTAACCATGTATTTTATTATTATGAAGTCATAACCATAAAGACATTTGCAAAGGAAGGTGCAAAAGTTCTGTAGCTCAGGGCAGTGATAAAATAAGCACAAAATTTACATATATTTTTATGAGACTATTTTCTTCATTAAGAACAAAAGTGCTTAGTATAACAACTAGCACAATCACCATGGCCTAAGACAGAGATTAACTCTAACATCTTTGGCCTTTTTGAAAAGAAATATATTTAAGCACTAAGTGAATCACTCTCCCTTTAAAGTTCCAAGGCTTTTGTGTTACAAGACCAAAAAATATATTTAAAATTTTACTATATATGTGGATGCTCTAATTTTTTGTTTACTTTTCAAAGAGTATCTGAAAGTAAAGGTGGAGCTGCTTCCAAACAAGGATAAAGTGGCAGACTAAATTTAACACCTAAATTTAGAGAAGAATCTTGGCAAGATGGCAAAGAATGTAAACCTTGTCTTTCTAGCTTTCTTTGCTCTTTTTTTATGTCCATCTCTTATTTCTACTTTTTTCAGTATATCTTTATATAGGACAGCTCTTTCATGCTTTTTATTGTGAATCTAAAGTCATTATTTTAAGTTTATTCTTACTCTGATGTACAAAATATGTTATTATCAGGGTAATTTGTCTTTTACTAAGCAATTGGTATTGCAAAAATAATTATGGAAGTCATCTGCATTGGGTTTTTTTCTTTGCCACTAAATTAGTTTATGATTTTGGATGTGGTCCCAGCCCCATGTGTAAATTGAACCACATTGGTTATTATCAGTGAAGATTATCATACCTCAATAATGGAAGCCATATATAACAATGTCGGGGGTATGGTTTGCAAAAATCATACAGGTAATTTGAAAGACAACCTGTGGGATGCACTTTTCTCTATACGTATACATTTTCAGTTGAGAATCATTAGACTAGAGAATCCTGAAGGCAGTTTTTACATCAAATTTATGGTCGCTGATGTTTACTAGTATTCATACAATTGTGTGTCACTCAAATGCTGATTTGTGACACAAGAAAAATGCAGAAATACGAATAGGAGGACATTTCCACAGGGGAGTCTTGAGTCTGTTCTGATGTATGAAAGCGATTATTCCATTGGGTGTGCTAACTATTTATTCAGTTTTGTTAATGGTAGCAATAAACAATAAATATTGATTATCAGTAACAAAATGCTTGTCACACTCCTCACAACTCATTGTGATTCACCAGTGAATACTAACAAAACTACTACCTTTTAATTTATATGGTTCCAATATTCAATTAATCTCTATCAGTAAGGTTTTCAATTTCCAGAATAGATCAAAAATAAAAATATTTGGAAGCAGAGAGATGTACCAGCATAAACTAAAGCACTCTACATTGGTACTCCCTGAATTGATGTTTGCATAAAATTTTCTATGGCTGTGTTGGAATAAATTAATGAAGGTGTACATTTTATGGCCCATGAGTTTTATGATTCTTCCTCTCCTTTCCTTGGTTTAAATCACAATTCTCTCATTTGTTAGTCTTGTGACTCTGAGCAAATATCTTTATTCTCTTAATCTCAATTTCTTCACAGTAATAATATGGAAAAAATAAGGCCCATCTCATACAAGAGAACGCATTCATACATGCATTCATAGGTTCTAAATTTGAGGATTTAAATTAAAGAAAATGTGAGGTGGCAAGAAAAAAAAGTAAACTTTGGATGTCAATTCCAAGTAAGTAAGTGTTGGGCACATCTAGCCAGGACCAGAATTCATCATCACTCTAAGTTGGGCCAATTCAGGCATGAAGATTGACAGAAAGCAATAGGCATCTACACAAATAATGAGTATGTATGTATGTGTGTGTGTGTGTGTTTATATGTATATACACATATCCACACATACACATACACTTAATCATGTATCACTGAATGAAGGGGATTCATTTTTAGAAATTGTCCTTTGGCAATGTTACCATTGTGCAAACATCATAGACAGCATTTAAACAAACCTAGATGGTATAGCCTACTACATGCCTAGGCTATATTATATGGCCTATTACTTCTAGGCTACAAACCTCTACAGCATATTACTGTACTGAATACTGTAGGCAGTGGTAACACAGTGGTAGGTATTGTGTATCTAAAAATATCTAAACATAGAAAAGGTACAGTAAATTGTGGTATCATAATCTTATGGGACCACCATCATTTATGTGGTCCATAATTAACTAAAATGCAGCTATTCAGAGGATGACCATGTATATATGAGGGTATTTATTTTAAAAAATGGCTCGTGTCATTATAAAGTCTGGAAGGTCCCAAGACAGGCCACCTGAAATCTGGAGATTCCAGGATGATGATGATAACATAGCTCAGTCTAAGTTCAAGACCCTCGGTAACAGGAAATCCAATAGCGCAATTCTCAATTTGAGGCTGAAGGCCTGAGAATTACAAGAGGGGAGTGGGAATGTGGGCACTTAGGTAAGTCCTGGCATCCAAAGACCAGAGATCTGGGGAGTTATCATATTCAAGAGCAGAATAAGAAAATGTCCTAGCTCAGGAGAGTGAGAAAAAGCCACATTTTCTCTGTCTTTATATTCTATCCAGACACCCCACCAATTGGATGGTGCCTGCCCACATTGAGGGCTAATCTTTCTGACTCAGTCCACCAATTCACAAGCCAATCTCCCCTGGAACATCCCCACAGACAAACCCAGAAATAATGCTTTACTACTTCTGTAGGTTTTCTTTAGTCCAGTCAGGTTGACACATAGAACTAACAATCACAAATCCATCTGCTGTCAACTTGGCATTCATAAGCATCCTATTAAACCATACTTAATCTCCAAATAAAGACAATTACAGGGTAAGACTTCTGCTGAACATAATACAACAATCCTTTATACAATTGAAGTGCATTAATTTCTCCCACAGAAAAGGAGAAAAAGTCCTCGGTGATGTTTACTTTCTCCTGCTATTCCATAACTTAAATACTGACATAAAGTCAATATATTTTACTTTACATGATAAAAAATAAAAAGAAACAAAAACAAATATAATTGTTTAATGTGTGTGTGTGTATATATATCCACAAACATGTTCTTAACAAAATAGAGAAGAAATATTAATGACAGTTACAGTCTTTATTTCTATAACTTATCATCTGGTTGTGCCTGGTATTTATTACTACCTTCTTCTACTACCCATTCTGTATTCCTTTTGCCTTCAGCAAGCAACTCAGCTTGTCATGCTTCTTTACCTGCTAGGATAACCCAAACCTTCATCCCTGAAGGGTCTATGTCATTTTTACTATAGTCCTGCCAGTATTGGTTTGTTGTAATTTTCCATTGACCTTACTCACAGGGAATGGTAATATTGAGCGACATCCTAAGGTATCTTCTGTATTCCAGACATACTCTCCTTTACCTCTATTATAAAGTATTTATTCAATTTCCCCTCATTAGTCTGGAACAGTAATATCAGCCAACAACGTAACCTTGTTAGCCTGTTGGCTCAGAAGCATGAAAAGCCCAAAGTGGCAGGGTGGCAGTCTCAATTTCCAGTTCAATAAAATTATTGTTGTGTCTCCTGGTGAAACCATTTCTCCCTCTAGAAATAAGACATATACAACAGCAGAGCATAAATTGGTAAGAACAGGAAGAAAAAAATTGTTAGCGGGTCACTCGAATTAATGGTGACTCATGCCATTCCCATTTCTCCCCTTGATTTCTGAACTGATAAATGCTGTCTGTGAGAGAAACAATGCCCATCTATTGGATGCTGATTTTGGCATATATAGGCTTCTTCATCTCATCCCACAAAGTATTGTAAACTAGCTGGTGCTGTAACTGCAACATCAAAAGGTCATTTCACATTTCTATCAAGCCAGTGGCTTAAGGATAATATGGAACATAGTAAGATCAGTCAATTCTATAAACCTGAGCCCACTGCCACACTTCTTTGGCTGTGAAGTGAGTTCCTTTGTCAGAAGCAATGTTGTGTGGACTACCATGTCAGTGGATAAGGCATTCTGTACCTCCATTGATCACAGTTTTGGCAGAAGAATTGCCTGCAGAATATGCAAATCTATATCCAGAGTAAATCTCTATTCCAATAGGGCCAAAATACTGCCCCTTCCATAATGGAGATGGTCTAAAGTCATCAACCTTCCATCAGGCAGCTGGTTGATCACTCCAGGGAATGGTGCCATATAGGGGTTCTATGTTGGTCTCTGCTGCTGAATGATTGGACACTCAGTGATGACTGTACTCAGGTTGACCTTGGTGAGTAAAAGTTCATGTTTCTGAGCCCATAAATAACCTCAATTCCTGCCACCATGGCCATGGCCACTTTTTTCAGGAGTCCATTGGGCAAGGACAAGGGTGACTGAGGAAAGAGACTTACTAGTATTCACAGAATGGTTCATCTTATCCATCTGATTATTAAAGTCCTCCTCTGCTGATGTCATCTATTTGTAGGCATGCACATAGTAAACAAATATCTTTACATATTTTGCCCACTCAGAAGAGTATATTCTCATTTCTCTTCCCCAAAATTCTTTGTCACCAATTTTCCAATTATGCTCCTTCCCAAGCTCATAACCACATAGCCAAACAATTGGCTACAGCTGTATATAATCACACTTCTTGTCATTTCTGTTTTCAAGCAACATGCACCACCTGATGCACTGCCTGAAATTCTGCCCATTGAGAAGGTTTCTCTTCAAAATTGTCCGTAATAGATGTCCTAGAAATGAGCCATAGTGCTGCAGTTGTCCACTTTTGAATGATGCTTTTATATCATGCAGAACCATCTGCAAACCAGGCCCTAGTATTCTCTTTCTTTGTCAACTGCTAATAAGACACTCTCTATGAGGCCATAAGTGTAGGCTGAGACAGAGAAGGCAGTGTAACAGGAGTGTGAACCATAAATATTTGGGCCACTTCTTTATGTTATGTAGCTTAGTTGTGCTTTTAGGACCTGTTCCGGCATGATCATGTATATCCAATTTCCACATTATGATAGAGTGTTGTTGTGCACACCCAGTTTATGGCTTAGTGGGTCAGATAACACTCAATTCATGAAAGGCAGCTCAGGTTGCCTGGTAACGTGGTGGCCCATTGTCAAGCAATCAATTTCTATGAAGGCCCATTAGCGGGCCTAAAACCATCTCTCAAACAAAAGAATACTTATCTGTGAATAATAGCAGAGTGTTGTACTAAAATCCTTAGGCCTCCCGCTGCTATTCACCTATAGAAGCCTAACAAAGGCTTCAATCAGCATCCCTATCTGCCATTGGCATCTTAAGTACCACTGAATCTGCTGAAGCATATAGCTCCAGTGTCAGAGTAGCTTGCACAGCAGTCTGGACCTGTTGCAGAGCCTTCTATCCTGGGCTCCACTCAAAACTAGCAGCTTTTTGGATTACTTGGTAGGTGGACCAGAGTAACAGACTCAAATGAGGAAACTATTGCCTCCAAAATACAAATAGACTTTCTAAACAATGTGCCTGTTCCTTGGCTGTGGGATGGTCCAGATGCAACAATTTATTATTTACCTTAGAAGAGATATAGTGGCATGCCTAACACCACTGGACACTAAAAGATTTCACTGAGATGGAAGGTCCCTGAATTTTAGTTGGATTTACTACCTTTGACACACAAGTATCTTATCAATAGATACAGAGCACTTGCTACTTTAAGCTCACTAGATCCAATCAGCTTAATGTTATTGATGTAATGGACAAGTGTGATGTCTTGTAGAAGTGATAGTTTTTCAAGATCCCTGATAACTAAATTGTGATAAGAGGCTGAAGTGTTTTTATAACCCTAATGTAGGATAGTGAAGGTGTATCTTAGGCCTTGCCAGCTGAAAACAAACTTTATTTAGTAGATCTTGTAGACAGGTATGGAGAAAAAGGCATTTGCCAGATCAATAGCTGCATGCCAGGTACCAGAAAGTGTGTTAATTCACTCAAGCAATGAAGCCTCATTTGGTACAGCAGCTGCAGTTGTAGTTACCAATTGTTGAAGCTTACATGATTCACTGTTATTCTCCAGAATTCATCTGTCTTCTGCATGGGCCAAATAGGAAAGTTAAACAGGGATGTGTTGGGAATCACGAGCTCTGCATCCCCAAATTGCTTTCATTTGGCCTTTTATATCATAGTAGCCCTTATAACACAGGTCAGGGAACCAATGTGGGTATTCTTCCAGTTTCTAAGTATTCCTATTCCAAGTATGCATCTGGAACTGGGGAAATAACCTCAGTATGGGTTCAGAGATCCACTGGACCCACTGTAAGTCAGACCTGAGATAAAACTCCATTGATTACCTGACTTCCATAAACCCTTACTCTAAGTGGAGCACCACAGTGACATTTTGGTCTCAAGGAATCAATGTCAGTTCTAAGCCACTGTTCGGTGGTTTTTGAAATGTCTAATCATTTCCTTTTTCCCAATGTACAGTTACTCTGGGAAAAGGCTGTAGGTCTCTTTGTAAAAAGATATGAGAAGTATTAACAGTACTGAATAAATTTTCACTTTACTTGAATGTTTTCTATGTATACAGATCAAATAAAAATTTAATAGGCCTTGTAGCTATTTTACTTCTAAGAAAATCATGATTAACTAGCCAGTACCATAGATCTACACAAGTCAGACTATTCTGATTCTTGCTTTACTTCTATCTATTATGATAACTATGCCTGACTTATTTTTGATGGTTGAGTGGGGCCACATAGTTCCTGCCACCCCAGGATCAAACTATTCCCACAGCCTTTAAGTTTTTCAATTGAATGACCACAATAAAGTCTGACTTACAAAGAAAAGCCATTATGGAGATCTTCAGAAATCCTAGGGCTCCTCTCACAAACCTATTTTTCAAAGTTTTGGTGAAGGATATGTCTTCTGGATGCTCCCATTGTGGGTGACTACATTTTAAGTGGCAAATCCACTCTAGCATTCCAGTCTTCCTAAGCTTTTGAATCCCTTCCTAATTTACATTAAATCAAGGGATATCAGGCATCTGCAACTTAACCACAGGGGGTCAGCTTTTGATTCATGTTTCAGCTAACCAACCAAATTTTTATGACATTTTTTAGCTCTATGAGGTGTAACACCAAATGAAGAATCACTATGTGGTCTGCCCATATCAATATATTCACCCTTGTCCAACTTTATGTTTCTTTCACCATTATCCCACACCCATGATATTTGTTCCCACATGTGTTCCCCTCACACTTATTCTTAGAAAACTCAAGTATTTCTTTCATAGAGTAGCACATCCCCTCATGGGTTACACTCTTTACCTCATCTTTAAAGGCCTGCTGGGACTTGAGTCTAGCTATAGGTCTATAAGCAAAGAGGGATGGTGGGGGTGGGTTCTGAGGAAAGTCAGTATTGTTTTGCTTGGCAACTGCCTCAGGATATACTATCACCATTTTCTCAAGCAATATAGAGTTAACCCCTGAGACAGAAATGCAAAGGCCTGTACTACTGTCGGTGATGATGATGCTGTCACAGTGAATGAGGATGAGGGCGGGTAGGTCACTTCAGACAAATAAGAGTAATAAGAATTTAGGAACCAAATGTTCCCAGCCTCATCAGGATTTTCTGCATACTCCCAACCCAACTTACAGGATCTCATTTTTTCCATCAATATATAACTTCACTTTAAATTAGACACACTGGGAGACTGATAATTCAACTTTTATTGTAATTGAGCTAATTGCATGATAAAAGCTTGAGTGTGATTTTTCAGCAAATTCATTTTGGTGGTTACAGGAGAGAAGATTCTCTCTCAGGACACAATTTGACACCTTAGGGTATTTATACAAACTGGAGTCTGAGATTTGAATCCCTGAGTTTATCCTTTTCTTTCATCACCTTATTCAGTGAAATTAGAAGCAACCTACCAGCATCATTATATTTTGTGGTTTTTCACTAATGTTCAAAAATGTCATATACCGAGTTATCAAGTTATTTGCCTTTTTAAGTGGTTTCTTAGGATTATCAACTGCGGATAGCTTATATATCTTATAAACAATTTATAACGTAGACTATCAGTGTCCTCTGAGTCTATTCTTAAAATAAGAATTGCTAACATTTAGGTTAACATTTAGGTTCCAATTAGAAAGCTAATTCCAGAAACACAAAAAAAAACTTCTTAAAAAATTTTCCAGAAAATTATCCTCTCTAGAACCAGTCTTTGGACCAAAATCTGTACTAACCAAGGTATTCTAGAGAGACAGAACCAATAGTAAATACACACACACACACACACACACACAAACACACACACACATGACGATCTTTATTAGGAGAGTTAGCTCATGCAATTATGGAGGTTGAGAAGGCCCATGTCAGGCTATTTGCAAGCTGAAAACAATTGGGTGCCAATAGCATGGCTCAGTCTAAATCTGATGATAAAAGAAAAGTAGCTCAGAGCAGTCCGAGCTATATGAAATATGCAAGATTTATCAGGCAAAGAGACATGAATGTGGGACTTCAGTCATGAACCATAAACCCATGACTGGAGAAAATTTTTAAAGGCATTTTTGTTCTTGCCTTTTTTTTCCTTTAAAAATCCACTTGTAATTGCTGCAAATTGAAGTATATATTCAGGGCAACTTGAGTTAATAATCCCAGGCGGCCATCCTTAAGATTTGAGCTTAAATAAACTCTATACTCAATAATATTTTCTGAATCTAATTATTTAAGGTTAATCTTTTGGCTACCATAAAGGGACCCAAAGTGGTCCTCCAGTGAATTCCATCACTTTACAGACAATCAGAGCTTTGGTATCAGCACAAAAGACTTTGAATCATCGAACTCATCAAAGTCAGCAGGGATCTCTAACTGACTTTAAAGACCCTTTTTTGATTTGCCTCCTTCCAGCTTAGTTGAAACTTCAGACTTCGAGCCATATACATTCCTAACTTGACACGTTTATAATTGAAGCCCTATTGTTAAGTACAAGTTTCATTTGTTATTCCTGAGGTTATACTGATCACAGATTTATGATTTTCACTTTTCTCTGAGGTTAAGGTTTTGTTTTGAATCTTCCGTTAGAGTTTTTTTAAACTTTCTTCACTTGACATTTGGTCAAAAAGGGAAAAAAAACAATCAAATCCTGAGGTTTGGTTCAATTCACAGGTCTAAAACTTTCTTCTTGAATGACCAAAATAATAAAAGACTCTGTGAGGCTCATGAGATTTTTGGTCATTCAGGAAGAAAAAACTCCAGTTAATTGGCTTAAAAAAATAAGCTTTTAAATATGTTAACAGGAAAATGCAAACTAATTTAAATGCACTTTAGTTCACATGATTTGCATAAATCTTTAGTAGATAAGACTACTTAAATGTTTTTGGTTTAATAAAAACAACTGTGTCTTCTGATCAACACAATACCTGTGTATTTTACTTCAGAGTTCTTGCTTAAGGGTGACTCTATCATTCACAGGCTATAAAAATGATTGGCAAACAGGTAACTTAAGATGATGCTGCCAGTGAAAAAAGTCACACTCAGTAAAAAAGATGAAGTGAATTATTTTGAGCCAAATATGAGTAACCAATGGCCCATGACACAGCCCTCAAAAATCCTGAAAATATGTGCCCAAGATGATCAGCCTACAACTTGGCTTTGTGAACCCCAATAATCTGAGACAGGCATCAGTTAATTTAGAAAGTTTATCTGCCAAGGTTGAGGATACACACCTGTGACAGAGCTTCAGGAAGTCCAGACAACATGTGCCCAAGGTGGTCAGAGCACAGTTTGGTTTTATACATTCTAGGGAGATATGAGACATCAACCAACATATGCAAGATGAACATTGGTTCGGTCTGGAAAGGTGGAACAACCTGAAGCAAAGGCAAGAAGACACAAAGTGGGGAGGTGGCAAATAGGTAGATAAGAGACAAATTGTTGCATTCTTTTGAGTTTCTTATTATCCTCTACAAAGAAGGCAATCATATATCTCAGTGAGCAGAGGGATAACGGAATAGAATGGGAGCCAGGTTGGTCTTAAGCAGTTCCCATCTTGACTTCTCCCTTTAGCTTAGTGATTTAAAGGCCCCAAGATTTATTTTCCTTTCACATTCCCCCCCTTTTCTCTTTAGAACTTTTTGGAGAAAGCATTTTAGAAGAAAATGTGTCTCTGGTCCCAGGTTTTATCTGATCTGTTATGGCTAGGATGGTTTATTCCTAGATGAGTACGTCCCGAGTTATTAGGAAAGCTCATTTTTAGCAGGTTGGGAAGTCTCGTGTCCTATATAGAGAAGATAGGGGGAATAAGGGAGAAAAAAACAAAAAATAAAAGAAGAATCCTGGAAAATTGATAAAGGCCACATTACTCTGAAGTCCATACAACAGTAGGCAGGGATGAAAATAGCTTATGTACGCAAATAAGTTGCTGCTATTTTCTTCTGAAGTGTAAGTTGTCTAGCTTCAGTTTGCAGGGATTTACAAAAGCACAGCTTAATCTTTGGTGATTTCAAATTAGGAAAAATGGAGGGGAAAACGAATAGAAGGAAGAAAAAAATGAAAATATCATTTTAAAGTCTTGAGCCAAGAAAAATTATAATTCAGTCTAAACTATAGAAAAGAATAGAATTTGAAAAACAGGCAAAACTAGAAGCTAAAAACAGGTATACTATAGTTTTGGAAACATAATTTTTTTCTCTCAAGTTTCCCACTTTTACTAAAGGCAAATCATGGTAGGACCAGTTTACTTTATTATCATTGTCCAGATTATTTGTATAAAGTGCACCAAGAGTAATTATTTTTCACATAGGCTTTTAAAAAAATTTGGCTTTGATGGAACTTGGTTCCATAGAAGGAATCTCAGATAATGCTTCCTTAAAGTCAAGCCCAGCCATGGATCTGTACCATCAGATAGCTATGATTTGGATGGATTTCTTCTTCTGTTGAGATTACAAGATAAACCTGGGGCTTCCGGACCTGTTAGAAAGTGACATTCTTTACTTACCACAGGTCAGAAACCCTGTACATGGGGCTGTATAGACAAACTATGAGGCTAGTTTTTCCAAGGGCTTTATTGACTCCATAAGTAAAGTTTGATTCCTTAAAGGAAAGCAAACCATTGCAGTCAAAGCCTGGGTAAAATAACCAGTTTCTCCAATTGTGTCCTCTGACAAACAAAACAGATTCTTATTGCACTTATACAAATAACTGTATTGCCATAATTTAAGAATACTCTTATATAGTTTCCAAATTCTTGAGAAATTAAGTAGAGAGAAACAAATATGCTCCAAATTTTGTTCATAGGAGTATAATAAATTTTTAAAAGCTGTCAATAGCTTAAAAGAAAAGTTTCAAGAAACAGAAAAACAAAACAAAGAATCAGCAATGTTTTAAGCAAAATAATCAAAAAGATTAGTTCAATCTATGCAGTTAATTTCTCTTTTGCTTGATATTCATGAACATTTTAGCTCTTCGTGAGTCCTAAAAGTTTTCCCTCTATTCTGAGGTCACAATCTCCAAAGTCATCAGAAACTTGATTCAAGGGAACCTTTTAGAGTTTTATAGCTGATTATAAAACCACCTTCTGAGAAACAAAAGAAGACAAGAATTGTCCATGAATGACAAAATATTTTAGGGCAGCCACAGTCAAAGACATAATTTACTAGGAATTTTTTTTTTACCTCTGTGGCACACAATAATTTAAACATAACAACTATGATTATTACTGATAATGTACACTAAGTCATATTACAACCATAGGAGTTTCCCATAATTTTGGAACACATCCCAGTATCATATTTATACAAATAAAGCCCAAAGAAAACCAAACACCATTTCATATTTGATTATGTTTCCTGTATAATTTTTATACCAAATAAGCCAAATTACGTTATTTTTGGATATCAGGGGACCTGATATCTTAAAGGATTAAGTAGGTCAGAAAAAGACATAATTTATAATTTGATTTTGGAAAGTTTGTAGAGTATCAAAGTTTAAAACACTTGATATTACAAAATAAAATTATAGGTCATTATACAGTCATTTATTTAACCAAAGTGATAACTCGAGGATTTTTAAAAAAAGCAAAAATCTTCATTCTTTGAGAGAGAAGACTTAATTTTCCAAGCAAGAAGCCCTAATAAAAACAGCATGAAGCCAATTAAATGTGTTTTTCAAAATTTTGTAAGCAATCTATAAAATTTTAATCTTAGTCATAGCATATAACTTTCATAAGCCTTTTATAACCTTCATAACCTTTATTAAGTAGTTGGTTAATGCTTCAAGAAAACCTTGTTAATCTGATGCTGGGGTTCATATGCTGGTCTTGCATCAGTGTGCCTTTGACATTAATTATTAATTTATAAAGAAAATGAACTTATTTTATCTCTTAAAATTGGTTCTTACAATCTCACATGACCACCTCTTCCACGATAGTCCCTGGGCCTTAAGGAGTGGAATGGCTTTAATTTCTGGCCCTGTGTCTCAGAAATTCATTTTATTTTAATTGGCTTCTTCTATGGGGCCTGAAGATAAGGTTTTAATTGTGCTCAGTGTTTAAGATTTAGCAGGACTTTGTGTCCTTTATAGACCCAGGATTCAAAGCCCTGTAACTTAAAGTCACAAGTACTTTAAAAGCATATACAGAAAGATACATGGATATAATAACCTTAAATTAAAAAAAATCTTAATTTTTCTTAAGCAAATCAAATTTAATAATATGGCACAGAAATTATTTTGATAAAACTTATAAAAGCAAAAGAAAAAACCTTCTCTAGTACACAGGATATTATGATGAAAGAAAACATTTTCTTTAGACCTTTAAGGAAAAGTGCCTTTTAAAAGGGGAGACAAAGCCAAAAATTGCAAGGGGCAACAAAAGTTCACTGATTATAAGATCTCTTACAATTTATTAAGAGTGAATCAAGCAATTAAAATTTCATTGTTCTAACCAATAATTTAGTGTATAAGTGTTTTTTACATGAAGTTCAATCTCTAGAAATAACATAGTTTCATTTTAATTATAAACATTTCATCATATAAAAGTTTTTTTTTAAATTAATCCTCGTGTTGTGACTTACACAGACCATTCCTGACGTCCTTGGACTTTCTGCTTTGTCCTGAACAGCACTCTTTCTTAAATATCCAGTCATTTTATTTTAGGACTAAATTTACGATACAAAATTCTTTCCCATATAAAATTGTTTCTCTTTAAGCTTTCTTACCCCAAAAACATACCTCTTTATTTTTATAATTTTCTCTACATCTTTCTTATTTCCTGGTTCCTTTACCTTATTTTATATATAATCTTTAAATATGCTTTGAATTAGACAAAACTTGTTCATCTGTCCTAAAAAGAACACACCTTTTTAAGCAAGGGTATTTTCCTGAAATATATTTTTATTGGAAAATACCCAAATAGCAAAATATTTATTATTCTATTTAATATAAATTTATAGTCTAAATTATGACAAGTTTGTCTACAAGTATTTATTACATTTACCTAATTTTTTATTTTAATTGATTACCTAGATTGTTTATGAAAACTGCAATAGTCATTATTTAATGTTATGAAACTGCCATTGCAAAATTATAACTGAGACAGTGAAAAAGATATGACCTAACTGACTCAATTTTGCTTCTAACCTCCAACCTGTCCTTGTTCATTCCTGGACTTTGGGAGGAACTTAGTTTATAGTTTAGCTTTAAACAAAGATGATAACAGTCCTTTCCTAAAACAAACCTCCTTACTCCCTGTGGACTAGACTGCCTAAAGCCTCAAGATTAGAAGTTATGGTAATTTTACTAAATAATTCAAGATGTAGCTATCTTCATTAAAACAATATCATTGTCTTATTAATTAAAAATTACACAAGCAAAGATCATAGTGTCTTGACACACAGAGTATTTGGCAGGGTTAAGTATGAAATTGCTTTATTAATAAATGCAAACAAAAAATGTATGCTGGCAATTCTTAAGACATTTGTAACATTACTTTATCAATAATTTTAACGGTATCTTATTTATTAGAGATTTTACTTAATGTAAACTTGAAAAAGCATTTGACTAGTCTTTTTTTTTCTGATAAAGTATTTGATTTAAGCACTTTTATTTTTCTTTAAGCCAATTACGTAGAGCTCTTTTATATATTTTCAGTAGTGAAACATTGTGTACACAACACATAAATAGATGTATTAGGCATGCCAATAGAAGTACATACTATAGATTCATAATGAACTGCCCCCCTTTTTTTCGTATTTTAGACTTTCAAATTCTTGATAACCTGTTTCACCACCCTAGGCAGTTTTCAAATAAGTAGCCTTAAATTTGCATAGTAAAAGAAACAATTCAGGTGAAAATCATACAGCAAAATTTACATCATAAAATACAGAGAGAAAAAGTCTGGTGGTGCTAGAACAAGATGCTTTTATTTTTCTTTGAGCCAAATCAAACATAAAATTATAGAAATCTGTCATAGGATTGTATAAGGAGACCAATTTTATTTAGAGATGGACTACCTATCTATCTTTTAACTGGATCGCTGAGCTCTGGGCAGAGCCCACACTGAATCCTGGGTCTCCAAAAGTGGAGAATTATTTCGAGGTTAGATCACATGATGCTTTTACACTGCACATATATTTTTTTAACAAAGACTTTTCTAAGTATCTAAACTTCACTCTTCCTTAAAAACCCCAGAGTAGCCTCTTGCAATAGCTATTAATGAAGAAAACAGAATTCAGTCAAATGAGAAGAAAAAATTAACTTTTGTTCAAAAAAATACAAGATCGTAGGAGAGAAAAACAAAAACAAACACATGAAGGCCTTTTACATACAAACACACATGCATGCACACATACACACAAACACACATCTTGGATATTAGCTTTTAATGAAGCTGACTTCTAACCATTGAGCTCCTTTAAAAAAAAATAAATTTCATTACTATATTTCAGCTAGGACAGATGGCTGTTATTTCAGAAGTACCAAGTATCAAACCAGAAAGGCCTTGAATTAGGAACCAAATCTATGCTGTCGTAGTGCAAAAAAAAGAAGGCAGAACTTTAGCTATCGAACTGTAGCATGGGGGGGACAGCCATTGCTTTCGGTATGGCCTGCATAGCAAAAAGGTGTCCTTGTTATGTAAATAAAGCCCCTTATGTAGTCAAAATAAAAAATCTTTCCTTTTTGTTTCTTCTGTGGCCTTTTTTCCCCCTCACTCTACCACATTTTTGTGTGTGTGTGAGGGCAGAATTCAGCCATTTTAGAGGTCTTGTTCCCTATAATTTGGAACGTTCTTTTAGATTTGAGCAAGGTGGATAGAGTTGGTCAAACCCATGGGAAAAGGATTGAAACAACAACAACAACAGAAACAAGCAACTAAAAAAAAAAGTTAAGTAAAACAAATGATCACACGACTTATATGATTACTGAGTACTCTAATGGTAAGGAGAAATTAAGACCAGCTAGTTGTTAATCTTAACTTTAGACAAGACAAAACCCAGTTCAGTAACTGACCTAGGGATGGGTGTTAGGCTTTAGACTGCTCTCTACCATTCTAGAAGCAGGAATAAAATAATAATAAAATAAAATAAAATAAAATAAAATAAAATAAAATAAAAATAAAATCTCATTTTCCCTGTTGGAAGTGACCTCAAACTCCATAAAGGAGTTACCTGCCTTCCACCATTATGGAAGCAGAAAAAATTTGCCTTCCTTGTGTTGGAAGCAAGTAAAACTTCAAAAAAAGATAAAAGGAGTTGTACAGCAAAATAAACTGTAGATCTTGATCAAATTTGGGGAGATAGTAATTCTCGGAGGGGGGGGGTGCTGTCAGACCTCAACAAATTGTCCTATTGATTTGAGCCATAAAGTTAGCTCACGCTGGTACCAAGCACCAATAGTTTTGTCAAAGGTTAGGGCACAGTTTGGTTTTATACATTTGAGAGAGATATGAGACATCAATCAATATATGTAAGAAGACCATTGGTTTGGTCTGGAAAGGTGGGACAACTCAAAGCAAAGGCAGAAAGACTCAAAGTGGGGAGGGGGCTTCCAGGTCACAGATAGGTGAGAAACAAATGGTTGCATTATTTTGCACTTTTGATTAGCCTTTCCAAAGGAGGCAATCAGATATGCATTTATCTCAGTGAGCAGAGGGATAACTTCAAATAGAATGGGAGGCAGGTTCTCCCTAAGAAGTTTCCAGCTTGAATTTTCCCTTTATCTTAGTTATTTTGGGGACCCAAGATATTTTTTAACACAGTATTCTTCAGGAATAAGTATGAAACTGCTTGACCAATAAATGGAAACAAAAATGCTGACAATTCATAAGACATCTCTAATATTATTTTCCAATAATTTTAAAGCCAGTTTATGAAGATTTGGCTTAAGTCACACAAACTTGAAAAGCATTTGGGCTATTGTTTACTTAATTTATGAGTACTCCTTAACTTTAAGCCAATTTGGTAGCTTGTAGCCAAAACACATAACAAAATATGTGTATGTACACATAAACACACATATGCACACATATACAAAGATCCTGTAGCTTTTACTTCAAAACTCTAGCCATGAGATATTAATACAAGCTTGCCAATTTACAAAAACAAACAGAAGAAGGTTAGATTCAAAAAATGATTTTTAACTCAGTAGAAATGTAATAGCAGATTTAAGCAGGCAGAAAGAAAAATATAAAAATAGAGAACTTAGGAACTCTGTAGTTGCCAGGTCAAATTTTGGGCTCTGAATTTTTCCTTGATGTAAGTTGCACATCAGTTTAAAATGTGCACAACAGACCAAAATATGTAATAGAGGAAGTACTGGAAAACCTGGCATGCCCTGAAATTTTTCATTTTACACAAACACTTGCAAGTACAGGCATTATAAAACCAATGGGGTACCCAAAAATAAGTCATTCTCTTTGTTTTTTCTTATTCTCAGACTATTTGTTTCCCATATTTTTTCTGATTTTTATTTATTTGTTTATTAAAAGGAGGAACTGAGTTTTTGCCTAGTGTTTAATGTGGTGGATCAATGTGTGCTTACTGTGTGTGGGACTCCACATTGTATCACCACTGATTTGTTACTGCCCTCTTACATGTCTTAGTTTCTCTCTCAGGAGGTCTAGCACCTCTAAGAGGGATCACAATACAGAATGATCAGCTCTTACATGTTTCCTGAAAGAGCCTTTTTAAACTAATTTTGTTTGCAGTTCCCTGTAGAGCCACTGCATATCATGGGAATTAAGCCCCCCGACATTCCCCACTTGGCCCGCAGTCACCCAGGAATGCCTTTTGTCTGGAAGGAGAAAAATATCCTTTCACTTCAGAGCTAAGGAAGCTTACTCTCTTATTTATCTCTAAAAATGACAGTACAGTTCCTCATGCAAATATGCAAACAAGCCAACTGACCTTAATTTGGGAAGAAAAATCAATGGAGAAGACTCATTAAAATGCAAAATTGAAACCAAACAGGATGCCTGAAGAGGGGTTGTTTGCCTGGTTTTTAGAAAAAGGCAATGGAGAAGATGCTTTAGAATATATCTCCAAGCCAGAATTAAGATCCTAAACAACAACTTCCTAGGAGGATAAGAAACAGCTCAAAATATGCCAAGAACCATCAACCAAAGAAAGATCCAAGTCTCAGAAGGATTTACCAGTTCCACTTGAGGAGAAGCTCAAAGTCAGGTAGGCTTTCAGTGGGCCCCTGCTGGACTTTAGATCAAAGTCTGAGCAACTCCTCCGGCATCCTGAGTCTTTTCTGAGGCCCCACGTAATTCTGTCATTAAATTATAATTGACAAAAATAGTGAAATTGTAAAATATTTGAAGACATTTATTCTGAGCCAAATATGAGTGACCAATGGTACAGCCCTCAGGAAATCCTGAGAATATGTGCCCAAGGTGGTCAGCATACTACTTGGCTTTACACATTTTAGAGAGACCTAAGACATCCATCAATACATGTAGGATGTACTTTGCTGTGGCCCAGAAACTCAGGAAAACTGGAGGTGGGGTCTTCCAGGTCATAGGTAGATTCAAAGATTTTCTGAATGGCAATTGGTTGAAAGAATTAAGTTACTGTCTAAAGACTTAGGATCAATAGAAAGAAATATCTGGGTTAACATAAGGGGTTGTGGGGACCATGGTTTTATCATGCACATGAAACCTCCAGGTAGCAGGCTTCAGAGAGAATAGATTGTAAATGTCTGATATCAAAATTAAACACTCTGTTCTATCAGTCTTAAGGTCTGTGCTGATGTTAATGCTGGTCAGGTTTTTCTTAATTCCAAAAGGGAGGGGGGCATAATGAAGCATATATGACTCTCTCATTCCCATCATGGACTGAATAAGTTTTTCAGGTTAACTTTACAATGCCCTTGGCAGAGAGGACAAGCCCATTCAGATGGTCAAGGGGGCTTAAAATTTTATTTTTGGTTTACAGTGACTTTCTTTGTTTAACGATTAAAACACAATGGTCAGAAATCAATAAATCATTTGAATGAAAATTGAATAAAAGCTATAAATGATCTTTCCATAGTTTGTTTTTTTAAAACTTTAAGTCATGCTATGTTAAATTAAGTAACAGATCATAATAACATTTCTGAGTCATTTATATTGTATAGAAAAGCTAACTATATTTAAATCTGTTCATAAATTGAAAACAACATCTTTCTAAAAATTATGAAATGGTTTACATCTACCAATACTGGTATGAAACTGTTCAAAATTACTTGCTTCTTAGGTTCTTAACTGTAAATTAGGATTATTAGGGGTTTATATTGAAGTTTATATATAATTAAAACTATTAGATATAATAGAAACAATTCTATATACAGAGTAAATAAAAAAGTAAGATGCATTTTTGATTAAAAAAGCTAAAAAGGGTATCATTTTTCTCTTACATTAGAGAAAAATTTGTGTGGTAAAAATAACAAAGAGAAAAAATATTTTTTGCCTAAATTGTCCATATATATTAAAATATATACATGACAAAATAAAAGTTTAAGCAAGTTGTAAAAGGTTTACAGAAAATTAATCTCATGAAGGAAATTATGTGTGATGAAGTTCACTAAAATTAGAAGGGAATTATTTATAAGTTCCTATGAAAATTGAGCAATAATATCAAAATACACAAATGCAAAGCCATAGTCTTTGCCCCTGTGTCAGAACAACAGAGGTTTTTAGATCATCGATCTGCTTTTTAATTTAATCATTTTAAGAGGTTGTTAAAGGCTTATGAAAATTTTAACTCCTGTGCTCAAAGCTGACTTAAATTTGATGGATTTCTTTATCAGGTATTATTAAAATTAGTTTCCATATAGATATACACTAATATAAATGTAAAATTTGGTTTTCTTCTTTGCATAAGAATTTAATGTAGTATTAATAAGATATAGTAAAAGATTTGTTTAACTTTTGAGTAAATGACAGAAAAGGCAGGGAAAAGTTTGCATCATACTGTCTTTTTTAGGATTCTCAATTGCAAACAGTCTCTTCTCTATCAAAGAATAAAAGTTTTCACTTTATGAAATCTTTACATAATAATGTTCGATAAATAAATGACAGTTATATTCAGTGATCTGTGGTTCTATTTTAATCGTGTATTTTAGAACTTTTTTATTTTAACATTAATTTAAATATTTAATATTTGACATACTACCAAAAATTAAATTTCAAATTCTAAAATGTAGTCGTATTGACCCAAGCTAACTTGGACATAACAAGAACCCCTGGGTGACCAAGAGATACATACTAGACTTATTCAGTATGTTAAAATCATATGGAAAGACTTGTCAACTTGTCAATTAAGAAATGGTGTTTTGCCGGGCACAGTGGCTCACACCTGTAATCCCTGCACTTTGGGAGGCCGAGGTGGGTGGATCACGAGGTCAGGAGATGGAGACAATCCTAGCCAACATGATGAAACCCCGTTTCCAGCAAAAATACAAAAATTAGCCAGGTGTGGTGGCGTGCACCTGTAGTCCCAGTTACTCAGGAGGCTAAGGCAGGAGAATCGCTTGAACCCGACAGGCGGAGGTTGCAGTGAACCGAGATCATGCCACTGTACTCCAGCCTGGGTGGCAGAGCGAGACTCCACCTCAAAAAAAAAAGGAAATAGCATTCAACTTTCTTTGAGTTAATTTACATAAATGTGTAATCAACATGTGTTCCAAAATTGTAGGAAATTCCTAAATTTCTGATATGTCTTGATATATGTCATCAGTCATAATTATCATTATTATAGTAAATTGATGTATGCCCCAGAAATAACCAAATTCAGTCTTAAATTGTGTCTTTAACAATGGCTATTTTAAGCCACTTGTCATCCACAGATAATTATGGTTTTTCTTTAATTCTTATCAAAATTCAGTTTATAATCACCTTCAGTCCAAAATTTTCTTTTTCTTTGAAAAAATTTGTGAAAAGGACTCTGGCAATTATTCATGAATATAGGTTTCTGATAACTTACATGAAACTAAACTGATAGAAAACTGTAATCCTTTTTATAACATTTTGTGTAAAATATTGCTGATTCATTTTATATTTTGTTTTCCAGAGTCAAACATTTTTCTTTTGAGCTACGTATAGCTTACAGCAATTGAGTAAAGTATATTTTGTGAGAAAAGTTGAAACATTTACCTTCCTCTCTACCTGAATTTTGCAAAATTTGGAAACTATTCATGAGTATTCTTATATTGTGCCAATCTAGTTATTTAAATACGTTCAATTAAATCTGTTTTTTTTTTGTAATAAAACACAATTGAAAACACTGGTTATTTTACCAACACTTTAACTGGAATGGCTTATTTTCAGATGCTAATGAACAGATTGCTTTGAGAAAATGAGGTTGACTTTGAAATAGGAAATTTTCCCTGACCTCTTCCCAGGGTGTAGGGGAGCTGGAGCGAAGTCACTAGGGCTAGCTGGCTGCTTAGGCTGGCTTCACTCACTAGGATCCACCCCTCAGGCAAGGGGAAGTGCAGCTGAGTTGTTGCAGGAGCCAAGCCGAGGTGAGTACTTCTGGGCACTGACAGGAGCAAACTCCATGCAGGCCCCGTGGTAGTGTCTTAGGGGAGCACCTTCAACCCCTAAAGCCCCAGAAGGAGTGTTAAAGTCAGCACTCTTTTAGCTTTGGCATCTGTGGATGGCTTAAGTGTTTAACAGCTTGGTGGACCCTCTGTCTTTTCACATGGACAGAGGATCAGTGTGACAGCCTTCTGCATCCTGAGCTCTTGTCTGGTGTCCAGAGAAAATCAGGTCACATGAATAAATTGAAGGATAGTAAATGCAGGGGATTTCACTGCCAATGGAAGTGGCTCTCAGTGGGAAGGGAAACTGGAAAGGAGATTGAGTGGGAAGGTATTCTTCCCCTGAAGTCTGGTCATCTCTGGCCAGACACTTTCTCAAAGTCCCACCATCAAGCCATCCCTCTGATGTCAAGCTGTTTCTCTCTGATGTCCAGCTGCTTCTCCTCTCGATGTTTGGCCACTTCTTCTCTCTGCTGGTGTGATCTTGGGAGTTTTTATGGGTACAGTATGGGGGACAGGGCAGGTAATGGGTGGTTTTGGAAAATGCAGCACTCAAGTGGGAACACAGAAATGCATTTTCTCACTTTGGGCTGTAGTTCCAGGCTTGAGAGTGGGGTCTTTTCTGCCTAGAAATTATCTGCCTCCTGTCTCTAGCAACTTGACTTTATAGAACCAATAAAAAGTCCTTTGAAAAGACTGGCCTGTTACCATGTCTATGTGCTTTCTTTATAAGCTTCCTGATCTTGCAGTAAGTGAAAAGTATTACTTCCTTACAATCCCAGGACACTCAAGGTATTTTGGGATCTTGAGCAGAGATAAACTCATTCAAATTATACAGGCATTCCAGGCACAGTCTCATGGTAAATTCTTGGCTTGGCTTCCTAACCTTGAGAGGCTTTTAAAAGTCTAATCTGAGATTCTTTATCAAAAATTTCCAGCAAAGCCAACTTAAAACTTATATGATCATTCAGCATTCTTTTTGCACTTTATGCAAATAATCAGGCCATGTATAATACTAAAACTTATCTTGCAAGTAAATTGGCCCTACTAAGATTCAACTTTGGTAAAAATGGGGAACTGGAAAGAGAAGCACTATGTTTCATAAAAAAACTATAGCACACTTGTTATTATTAGGTTCGTGCAAAAGTGATTGCAATTTCTGCTATTAAAATTAACAGCAAAACCTGCAATTACTTTTGCACCAACCTAATAAATTCCAGCTCTGACCATTGTTTTTGAGCTTTTATTACTTTCCTACAATTTTGACTAAATTCAGAATTATTTACTGGCTATATCATTGCTCTGAAGAAGAACCAGGTTTTAATTTTCTTCATGATGTTCTTAATTGACTCTCCAATGAAATACTTTTAGTTCTAGTGTACACATTCTCCTTTTGATTATAATCCTTATATGTAGTATAGTTCTACTATGTATCTCTCATTGTTTTACTTGTGAGAAACCTGAACTCATGGTATTCCAAAGACTAGAAATATTTCAACAAGAGACAACAGCTATATAAATCAGTGACTTGAATATGGTCTAATTTATGCCATCCTGTGATGCCTTCCCAATTTGACTTTTGGTTTCCATACAATTGTTCACTGAGATGTATCTGTTCTCCTTGCCCCATGTAGTAAAGGATCTTCTGGGAAAAAGCCTTCTTAGCAATGTGAGACTAAATTCCTGGACATAAAAGGCCAAAATCATTTGAGTTTTTCTATGATTTTTTTCTTCTAAAGACCTTGATTAAAATGGGAAAAATGAGAAAAGAAAAATAGCTCGGAGAAGTCTGACCTATGTGAGGTATAAAAAATTTATTAGGCTCAGAAAGACGTGTATGGAACTTCAGCCATTCTTCCCCACACCCCCATGCCCAGAAGCAATTGTTTAAAGGTAATTTTTGCCTAATTGCCTCATATATTATCTTCATGTTCCTGGAATTTGCAATTAAAACGACAAGGTATGGCCAATCAATAGATTATGCTATTTTAATGTAAATTTTTGACAAACAACTTGAAAATCACCTCTTCTTTTTCTTTAATACCCCACTTGTAACTGCTGCTAATGCTATGCCCCCTTGTGGTCATTCTCAATCTTTTAGCTCAAATAATCTGTATAATTTATAATATTTTCTGTATTTCATTGTGTAACCTTGACACTAAGTGCCTAAGAACTAGGGTAGCGGATGTTGTGATTCTCAGTCCAAGGCCAAAGGCCTGAGAACTCATGGGTCTGCTGGTGTAAGTTCCTGTGTCCAAAGGCCACAGAGCCTGGAATTCTAATATTTATAGCTAGGTGAAGAAGAGTGTCATAGCTCAAGGAGAGAGAAAAAAGTTGTTTCTCCTCTGACTATTTTGTTCTATATGGGTTTCCAGCTGATTGGATGATGCACTCTGACATTGAGAAAAGATCTTCTCCATTCATTATACTGAGTCACATGCCAATCTTTTCTGGAAAGAATGTAGCATACACACTCAAAAATAATGCCTTAGGTATTCCTTAATCCAGCCAAATTGACACCTGAAATTAACTATCACAGGTGCTTTTAAAAGATTTACTCAGACTCCGTCTAGATCAATTAAATTGGAATCTCTGAAGCCTAGTGCCTGGGCATTAATATTTTTATTAAATCTCTTGGAGTAAGCCTAATGTACACACAAAATTGAAAACCACCACATCTAAGTAAGTCTGCAAATTTGTCAAAATTGCTTATTTTCCTAGGTCCCCAGTGTTCTCCTTCTCTAGGTCCTTCTGGTCACCTGGTAAACAACCAGATTAATTAATTTTGGAATAAACCATCTAAAAATGAAACTCAAACGGTAAAAATTATAGCACTGTGAGATCAGGGTATGAAACTATACTGATATACCCTAAAGCACTACACATCAGACTTTCGAAGCTCAGTTACTTCTCTGGTGCTTCTTAATCTTGTCATCCAAATGAGTCACTGTCTTATCTGTCTATGTTTAAGAACCCAGGCCATAAGGAAAATAACTGGTAAGCCACACTGTTCTACTCTGATGCAAGGGAGGTATCCTCTGCTGCGGAGTTGTTCTGTCTAAGTCAGTTGCAAGCATTTTTTTTTAGATAAACTTTATTTTTAGAGCAGCTATGTGTTCAGAGTAAAATTGAGTAAAAAATACAGAGATTTTCTATAAACTTCTTGCCCCCTCAAATGCACAGCTTCCCTACATTATCAACATCTTTCATCACAGTGGTGCATTTGTTACAACTGGTATAACTCCACTGAGACATCATTATCACCCAAAGTTTATATTTTACATTAAGATGTTGTACATTCTACAAGACTTGACAAGTATATAACACATGTATCCATCTTTATAGTCTCATACAAAGTGTCTTCACTTTCCTAAAAATCTTCTGTGCTTTGCCTGTTTCTCCCTCTCTCCCTGAAATCCTGGCAAATCTGATCTTTTTACTGACCCATTAGTTTTGTTTCTCCAGAGTGTCATATTGTTGGAATCACACTTTTTGGAATTTTCAGGTTTTTTTTCTTTTTTTTTTTTTTTTTTGAGACAGAGCCTTGCTCTGTCACCCAGGCTGGAGTGCAATGGCGCAATCTCGGCTCACTGCAACCTCCACCTCCAGGGCTCAAACTATTCTCCTGTCTCAGCCTCCCGAGTAGCTGGGATTACAGGTGCCTGCCACCATGCCCAGTTAATTTTTGTATTTTTAGTAGAGATGGGGTTTCACCATGTTGGTCAGGCTGGTCTTGAACTCCTGACCTCAGGGATCACTGTCCACCTCGGCCTTCCAGTGCTCATATTATAGGTGTGAACCACTGTGCCTGGCCTTCAGATTATTTTCTTTTGTTTAGTAGTATGTTTTTAAAGTTTTCTCCATTTTTTTTTTCATGGCTTGTTAGATCATTTCTTTTTGGTGCTGAATAATATTTCATTGTCTGAATGTACCACAGCTTATTTATTTGTTTATTTAGTTAATTAATTTATTTATTTTGAGATGGATTCCCATTCTGTTGCCCAGGCTGGAGTGCAGTGGTGCGGTCTCGGCTCACTGCAACATCTGCCTACCGGGTTCAAGGGATTCTCCTGCCTCAGCCTCCTGAGTAGCTGAGATTACAGGCACCTGCCACCACCCCCAGCTAATTTTTGTATTTTTAATAGCAATGGGGTTTCGCCATGTTCATCAGGCTGGTCTCAAACTCCTGGCCTCAAGTGATCCACCCTCCTTGGCCTCCCAAAATGCTGAGATTACAGGCATGAGCCACTGTGCTCAGCCTACACAGCTTATTTATTTATTCAGCTACTGAGGGACATCTTGGTTGCTCCCAAGTTTTGGCAATTATTAATCAAATTGCTACAAATAATTATATGAAGTTTTTGTTGTGTATGTTAGTTTTCAACTTATTTCGGTAAATACCAAAATGTGCAATTGCCAAATGGTATGTGCTATAGACTGAATGTTTGTGTCCCCTGACAATTAATATGTCAAATTCTAATCCCAATGTGATGATATTTAGAAGTGGGACCTTTGGGAAGTGATTAGGTCATGAGGGTGGAACCCTCATAAATTGGATTAATGCCACTATAAAAGAGCCCCCAGAGAAGAGTGTGTGTTGGGGAAATGTGAGGAGAGGCAGGCTAATGAGTACAAGCAACTAGATGGAAGGAATAAGTTCTAGTGTTTGATAGCACACTAGGGTGACTATACTTAACAGCAGTATATTGTATGTTTCTAAGTAGCTAGAACAAAGACTTGAAATATTCCCAACACAAAGAGATGATAGTTGTTCAAAATGATGGATATCCTAAAAGCCCAGATTTAATCATTGCATATCCTATGAACATATCAAAATATCACAGGTATCTCAAAAATATGTACAAATATTATGCATCAATTTAAAAATTTTAAAAGACCCTTGAGAGGTTACTTGCCCTTTCTGCCATCTGAGGACACAGCAAAAAGATGGTCATCTATGAACCAGGAAGCAGACTCCTAGAAGACACAAAAATATGCTAGCACCTTAGTTTTCGGAACTATGAGAAATAAATACTTGTCTATAAGCCACACAGTATGAAAGTCTATTATATCAGCCCAGAAAGACTAAGAGTATGGTAAGAGTATGTTTAGTTTTGTGAGAAACTGCCTGTCTTATAAAGTGCTTGTACCATTTTGTATTCCACCATCAATGAACAATAATTTCTTTTGCTCAACATCCTCACCAAAATTTAGTCGATGTCCTGGATTTTCCATATTTTAATAGGTTTGTAATGGTATCTCATTGTTATTTCAATTTGCAGTTTAATAGTAATAGTGATGTTGAGCATCTTTGCATGTGCTTATGTGCCGTCTGTATATCTTCCCTTGTGATGTATCTGTAGAGGGATTTCACCCGTTTTATAATCAGGTTGTTAGTTTTCTTATTGTTGAGTTTCAAAGGGCATTTATATATTTTAAATAAGAGTGTTTTATCATATATTTTTTCCAAATATTTTATCTTATTTAGTGGCTGACCTCTTCTTTTCTTGTTGTCTTTTATGGAGCAGTTTTTAAGTGAAGTCCAGCTTATCATTTCTGTCATAGATTATGCTTTTGATACTTTATCTGGAAAATTATTGCCAAACACAAGGCCTTCTATCTTTTCTTTCTTTCTTTCTTTCTTTCTTTCTTTCTTTCTTTCTTTCTTTCTTTCTTTCTTTCTTTCTTTCTCTTTCTTTCTTTCTTTTTCTTTCTTTCTTTTTCTTTCTTTCTTTCTTTTTCTCTTTCTTTCTTTCTTTCTCTTTTTCTTTCTTTCCTTTATCTCTCTCTCTCTCCTTCCTTCCTTCCTCCCTCCCTCCCTCCTTTCTTTCTCTCTCCCTCCTTCCCTCCTTCTCTCCTTCCTTCCTTCCCTCCTTCCCTCCCTCCCTCCCTCCTTCCTTTCTTTCCCATTCTGTTGCCCAGGCTGGAGTGCAGTGGCACAATCTCAGCTCACTGGAATCTCCACCTCCCGGGTTCACGCGATTCTCCTGCCTCGGCCTCCTGAATAGCTGGTACTACAGTTATTATTAACCCTTAATAATCCTAATTTCCAGTTAAGAACCTAAGAAGCAAGTAATTTTGAACTGTTTCATACCAGTATTTGTAGATATAAACCATTTCATAATTTTTAGTAGAGATGGGGTTTTGCCACGTTGGCCAGGTTGGTCTCAAACTCCTGATCTCAAGTGATCTGCCCACCTATGCCTTCAAAAGTGCTGAGATTACAGTTGTGAACCACTTTGCCCTGCATAGATTTTCTCCTATATTATCTACTAGGGACTTTACAGATTTGTGTTTTACATTTAGTTCTATAATTTTTTTGAGTGAATTTTGTGACGGATGTAAAGTCTGAGTCTAGATTCTTTTTTTTTTCACATGTGGATGTCCAGTTGTTCTAGCATCATTAGTTAAAACATTTATCTTTGCCCTATTGTATTGCCTTTGCTTCTTTTTACTGAGACAACAACTATTAATCAAAATAATTGTTTTTCCCAAGCTTTATTGAAGAATAATTGCCAAATAGAAGTGTTATATAATTAGATATACTTTAAGCTTTGATATATGTATATGTCGTGAAATGATTACCAGAATCAAGAAAATTAGCATATGCATCACCGCACATGGTGGTAAGAACAGTTAAGATCTACTCTCTTAGCAAATTTCAAGTATGCAATACATTATTTTTAACAAAAGTCAGCATACCACACATTACATTACTAGAAGCTATTTATCAACAATAAACTGCCAGTTTGTACTCTTTAACCAATGTATTCCTAATTCCCCAATCATTATCCCAGCAAACAACATTGTAAATTCTGCTTCTATGAGTTCATCTTTTTTAGATTCTACATATAGGTAAAATCATGCATTATTTGTCTTTCTATGCCTGGCTTGCTTTACTTTGCATAATGTTCTTCAGTTTCATCCATCTTGTCACAAATGGGAGAATTTCCTCCTGTTACTATTTTTTTCATGCATTTTACTTCCTTTGGCTATATAATTAGGGGTGAAATAGCTGGATCAGAGGGTAGTCATTTTACTAATTTTTGGAGAAACTTTTATAGTGTTTTCCATAATGGCTGTACCAATTTACATTCCCACAAACAATGTACAAGGGTTCCCATTTGTCCAAAAATTTACAAGTGAGATTTAGTTAATCTAAAGAGCTTTTGCACAGCAAGAGAAATTTTTAGCAGACTAAACAGACAACTTACAGAATGAGATAACATATTCACAAACTATATGTCTGACAAAGGTCTAATATGCGGAATCTATAAGGAACTTAAATAAATTAACAAGAAAAAAACAGCCCCATTAAAAAGTGGGCAGAGGACATAAACAGACCCTTCTCAAAAAAAAAAAAAATACAAGCAGCAAACATATGAAAATGTGCTCATCATCACTAATCATCAGAGAGATGCAAAGCAAACCACAATGAGATACCATCTCACACTAGTCAGAATGGCTTTTGTTATAAAGTCAAAAAATAACAGATTTTGGAGAAGGTGTGGAGAAAAAGGGACACATATATACTGTTTGTGGTAATGTAAATTCGTCCTGCCACTGTAGAGAGCAGTTTGGAGATTTCTCAAAGGACAAAAATTTGAACTTCCATTTAACCCAGCAATCTCATTACTGGATATATTCCCAAAGGAAAATAAATTTTTCTTCCAAAAAGACACAATCACCTGCATGTTCATAGTACTTTTTGCAATAGCAAAAACATGGAATCAACCCAGGTACTCATCAACAGTGGACTGGATAAACAAAAGGTGATAAATACACATCGTAGAATACTATGTCACCATAAAAAAGAAAAAAAATATTTTCTTTGCAGAAACATGGATGTAGCTGAAGGCCATTATCCCAAGCAAACTAATGCAGAAATAGAAAAGAAAATACCACATGTTCTTATAAGTGGGAGCTAAACATTGGATAGATAGACATAGTGATAGGAATGGTAGACACTGGGGGAAGCTAAAAGGAGGGAGAGGGAGGGGGGCAAGAGCTGAAAAACCACCTGTTGGATACTATGCTCACTACTGGGTGACGGGTGCAGTTGTACCTCAAACTTCATCATTGTGCAATATACCTTGGTACTGCACATGTACCCCCGATTCTAAAATAAAAGTTGAAAAAAAAGAACCTCCCTTTGTCCATGTCCTCACCAACACTGATTATTTTTTATCTTTTTGATAATAGTAATTCTAAGAAGTATGAGATATCATACTATTTATTGTTTTAATTTACAGTTTCCTGGTAATTAGGGATGTTGAACATTTTTTTTTTATATACCTGTTGGCCATTTGTACTTCTTCTTTTGAGAAATGTCTATTCAGGTCCTTGTCCTATTTTGTAATCATGTTATTTGTTTTCTTGTTTTTGAGATGACTGAGATCTTTACTTTTTTTATATTAACCCCTTATCATATGTATGGTTTGACAACATATTATCCCATTCTGTAGGTTTCTTTTCACTCTGCTGATTGACTTTTTTTCCGTGCATAAGCTTTTTAGTTTGATGCAGTCTCATTTGTCTATTTTAGCTTTTGATGCCTGTGTTTTTGGTGTCATATTCAAACAATAATTGCCCAGTTAAATGTCAATAAGCTTTCTCCCTATACTTTGGTTTTTGTAGTTTTAAGTTGTATGCTTAAGCCTTTGATACAGTTAATTTTTGTGAATGGTATAAAATAAGATTCTAATTTCATTTTTCTGTATGTGGATACTCAGTTTGCCAAACACCATTTATTGAAGAGATACTTTTTTCCCCATTGTGTGTTCTTGGTAACTTTGTCAAATATCAGTTGTTGATAATTGTGTGGATTTATTTCTTCACTCTTTATTCAGTTCCATTGGTTTATATGCTTGTTTTTATGCCAGTACCATTGTGTTCTGATTATTATAACTTTATATTATATTTAGAAATCAAGTAGTGTGATCCTTCCAACATTGTTATTCCTCTTCAAGATTGCTCTAGCTGTTTTGGTCTTTCGTGATTCCATACTAAATTTAGTGCAGTTTTACTGTATGTAAAAATTGTCGTTAAAATTTTGATAAGGATTGTATTAAACCTATAGATTCTGTTGGATAGCATAACAATTTTAACATTATTAATTATTCCAATCCATTAACACAAGACATCCTTCCATTTATTTATGTCTTCTTCAATTTTCCTTATTAATATCTTAGTTTTCAGAGTACAGATCTTGTATGTCCTTGGTTAAATTTTTTTCTAAACATTTTATTCTCCCAATGCTATTAAAGGGGAATTGTTCTTTTAATTTTGTGTATGGTTTATTGTTAATGTATAGAAATGCAACTGTATCTTGTATGTTAGTTATGTGTCATATAACTTTACTGCATTTATTAGTTCTAACAGTTTTTTAGTTGAGTCTGATTATATATAATATATATATATATATATATATATATATATATATATGACATCTGTTTACAGAGATGATTTGACTTCTTAAAAATTAACTGCTTAAGCTGCATCTCGAAGATTCTGGTACATTGCCTTTTTGTTCTTATTGGTTTCAAAGAACATCTTGATTTCTACCTTAATTTCATTATTTACCCAGGAGTTATTAAGGAGCAAGTTTTTCAGTTTCCATGTAGTTGTGTGGTTTTGAGTGAGTTTCTTAATCTTGAATTCTAATTAGATTGTGTTGTTGTCTGAGAGCCTGTTATGATTTCAGTTATTTTGCGATTCCTGAGGAGTGTTTTACTTCCAATTACGTGATTGATCTTAAAGTGCCATGTGGCGCCAAAAATAATGTGTATTCTGTTGTTTCTGGGTGAAGAGTTCTGTAGATAATTATCAGGTCCACTTGATCCAGTGCTGAGTTCAAGTCCTGAATATCCTTGTTAATTTTCTGTCTTTATGATCTGTCTAATATTGATGATGAGGTGTTAAAGTCTTCCACTATTATTGTGTGGGAGTCTAAGTCTCTTTGTAGGTCTCTAAGGAACTTGTTTTATGAATCTGGGTGCTCCTGTGTTGGGTCCATAATTATTTAGGATAATTAGCTTTTCTTGTTGAATTGATCCTTTTGCCATTATGTAATGTCCTTTTTTTTTTCTTTTTTGATCTTTGTTGGCTTAAAGTCTGTTTTGTCAGAAAATAAGATTGCAACCCCTGCTTTGTTCTGCTTTCCATTTGCTTGGTAAATTTTCCTCCACCTTTTTATTTTGAGCCTATGTGTGTCTTTGCACATGAGATGGGTTTCTTGAATACAGCACACCAGTAGGTCTTGACTCTTTGTCGAGCTTCCATTCTGTGTCTTTGAATTGGTACATTTAGCCCATTTACATTTAAAGTTAATATTGTTATGTGTGAATTCAATCCTGTCAGCATGATGCTACCTGGTTACTTTTCAAACTTTTTGATGTAGTTGTTTCATAATGTTATTAGTATTTGTACTTCAGTGTGTTTTTGTAGTGGTTGGTAATGGTTTTTCCTTTCCATATATAGTGCTTCCTTCAAGACCTCTTGTAAGGCAGGCCTCGTGGTGGTGAATTCCCTAAGCATTTGCTTGTCAGAAAAGTATTTTATTTCTCCTTCTCTTATGAAGCTTAGTTAGGCCAGATATGAAATTCTGGGTTGGAAATTCTTTTCTTTAAGAATGTTGAATATTGGCCCCCAATCTCTTCTGGCTCGTAGGGTTTCTGCTGAGAGGGTCACTGTTAGTCTGATGGGTTTCTCTTTGTAGGTGACCTGGCCTTTCTCTCTGGCTGCCCTTAATATTTTTTACTTCATTTCAACCTTGGAGAACCCGATGATGTTTCTTATGGTTGATCTTCTCATGGAATATCTTACTGGGATTCTCCGGATTTCTTGAATTTGAATGTTGGCCTGTCTTGTTAGGTTGAGAAACTTCTCCTGGATGACATCCTGAAGTATGTTTTCCAGCTTGGTTCCATTCTCCCAGTCTCTTTTAGGTATCTCCATTAGACATAGGTTCAGTCTTTTTACATAATTTCATAGCTCTTGGAGGCTTTGTTTGTTCCCTTTCATTCTTTCTTTTCTAATCATATCTGCCTGTCTTATTTCAGCAAGATAGTTATCAAGCTCAGAAATTCTTTCCTCTGCTTGGTCTATTTAGTTATTAATATTTGTGGTTGCACCGTGAAGTTCTCATGTTGTATTTTTCAGCTCCATCAGATTGTTTATGTTCCTCTCTAAACTGGTTACTCTGGTTGACAGCTCTTGTAATGTTCTTCCATGGTTCTTAACTTCTTTGCATTGGATTAGAACATGCTCCTTTAGCTAAGCAAAGTCCATTATTACCCACTTTTTGAAGCCTACTTCTGTCAATTCATACATCACTGCCTTGAACCAGTTATGTGCCTTTGCTGGAGAGGTGTCGCAAACATTTGGAAGAGAAGAAGCACTCCAACTTTTTGAGTTTTCAGCATTTTTTTGATGAATCTTTCTCAGTTTGCAAGTTTATCTAGCTTCAATCTTTGATGCTGCTGATGTTTGGATGGAGTTTTTGTGGGGACTTTTTGTTGATGCTGTTGTTGCTTTCTGTTTGTTTGTTTTTCTTTTAACAGGCCCCTCTTCTTTAGGGCTGCTACAGTTTGCTGGGGGTCCACTCCAGATTCAATTTGCCTGGATCCCTCCTGCCCCTGGAGGTATCAGCAGTGGAGGCTGCAGAACAGCAAAGATGGCCACCTGCTCCTTCCTCTGGGGTCTCTATTTCAGAGGGGCACTGACCCGATGCCATTGGAAATGCTCCTGTATAAGGTGTCCAGCAACCCCTCCTGAGAGGCACCCTGTCAGGAGGCACAGGATCTGGGATCCACTTAACAAAGCACTCTGGCTGCCCCTCGGAGGAGGGGTTGCACTGTGCTGTGGGGAGCCCCACTCATCTGGACTGCCCAGATTAATCAGAGCCAGCAGGGGGAAAGACTAAGTATGGTGATCTCTGGAGACTGCAGCCACCCCTCCCCCAGGGACTCAGTCTCATTGAGGTTAGAGTTCTGTACTGAAATCCCTGGCTGTAGTTGCTGAAATTTCTCCAGGGAGGCCCCTCCAGTGAGGAGGGATGAGCCAGGGTCTGTCCTAAAGAGGCAGTCTGGCCACAATCTGCCACAACCACTGTGCTACATTATGGAGAATTCCTCCTGGATCCAAAGTGTCTATCTTCCTGGCACCAGCAGGAAAAAACAGCAGACTGGAGCTGCAGTGATGGCCACTGCCCCTTCCCCCAGAAGCAAAGTCATCTTAGGCAGCAGGCAGCCACAGTAATGATGGCTTCCCCTCCCCCAGGAGCTCAGTAGTCTTAGGCAGTCTCCAACTGAGTGGCCACTGAGAACCTGCCCAGCTCTGTGCTTGGGATCCAAGGCTCTTTGCATGGGCTCACAAGGGGGATCTCCTGATCTCTGGGTTGCATGGATCCATGAAAATAGTGTGATCTTCCAGGCAGCATAGCACAATCACTCACTGCCACCCTTGGCTAGGGGTGGGAGATCCCCTTGCTCCATGTGTCTCCCAAGTGGGCCATTATACCACCCTGCATTTCCTTGGTCTCCATGGTTTGCACTAACTCTGTCTAGTCAATCCCAGTGAGAGAGCCTGGATACCTCAGTTGCTGGTGCAGGATTCACCAGCTGTTTTTGTTCTCTGTGGGAGCCTCCAAGCACAGCTGTTCTAGTTGGCCATCTTGACACCTCCCCCTGTTAATCTTTTCTATCGTTTTTCTAGTTTCTATTTTATTTGTTTGTTGGTCTTTTTATTTCCTTCATTTTCTGTTAAATTTGCTCTTACTTTTTTGGTAGTGCCTTGAGGTACAATGTGAGGTTCTTTATTTGATATGTTTGTTTTTACTTAAAGTAGGTCCTTATTGAGAATCACCTCCCTCTTAGAACTGGTTTTGCTACTTTCTACAAGTTTTTGTTTTGGTGTTCTGTGTTTTCATTTTGTTTTACACAAAATTTTTTTTATTTCTGTTTTAATTTATTTTTGGCCCATTGGTGGCTTAGTTTCTACCATTGTGCTGTTTAATTTCCACATATTTGTGAATATTTCAATTTTCCTCTTCTGACATGTTTTTAAAATTTTCATACCATTGTGGTTGGAAAAGTTACTTTATATGATTTCAATCTTCTTTAATTTTTTAAGACATGTTGTGACCTAACATATGGTTTATAATGGAGAATGTTCCATGTGAGCTTGAAAAGAATGTGCATTCTGTTGCTGTTGGATAGAATGTTCTCTACATTTCTGCTAGGTTTATTTGATCTAAAATATTCCTCAAGTCCACTGTTTCCTTATTTATTTTTTGTGTGGAGGATTTATCCATTGTTGAAAGTGGGATACTAACATCCTCCATCATTGTTTTATTGACATCTATTTCTCCCTATAGTTTTCTCAATATTGTTTATATATTTAGATACTCCAATGATGGGTGACTATACACTTACAATTGCTATATCTTCTTGATTAACAGACTCCCTTGTTATTATAAAATGACCATATTGTGACAGTTTTTGATTTAAAGTCCGATATGGTTAGAATATTTGTCCACTCCAAATCTCATGTTGAAAGCTAATGCCCAGTGTTGGAGGTGAGACCTAGTGGGAAGCATTTGGTTCATGGGGCAGATTGTTCACAAACGGATTGTTGCCTGCCTCACAGTAATGAGTGAGTTCTCACTCTATGAGTTTATGGAAGAACTGATTGTTTGAAAAGAGCATGGTACCTTTCTTCTCTCTCTTGCTCTCTCTCCTGACATTTGACAGGCCTGCTCCCGCTTCACCTTCCACCCCGAGTAAAGGCTTCCCGAGGGCCTCACCAAGAAGGCTTGTTCAGCCTGCAGAACTGTGAGCCAAATAAACCTTTCTTTCTTATAAATTATCCAATCTTAGGTATTCCTTTGCAGCAATGCAAAATGGACTAATATAAAGTCTAATTTTCTGAAGTAAGTGTAGCTATCCCTTCTCTTCCTTGGTTTTCATTTGCATGATATATTATTTTTGTTTCCTTACTTCTAGCCTATATCTGTCCTTCAAGCTAAAATGAGTTTCTTGTAGGCTGCTGATATGGTTTGGGTATTTGTCCCCTCAATAACTCATGTTGGACTGTAATCTCCAGTGTTGAAGTTTCGGCCTAGTGGGAGGTGTTTGGGTCATGGAGGCAGATCCCTCATGAATGGTGTGGTTCCCTCTCTGTGGTAATGAGTTCATGTGAGATCTGATTGTTATAATATCTGGGACTTCTGCCCACTCGCCTTTCTCTCTCTCTCGCCATCTCACATGTCTTCTCCCCCTCCACCTACTGCCAGAAGTAAAAGCTTTCTGATACCTCACCAGAAGCCATGTAGATGTTGATGGCATGATTATACAGCCTGCAGAATTGTGAGCCAAATGAAAGTCTTTTCTTTATGAATTACTAAGCCTCAGATATTCCTTTCTAGCAATGCAAAATGGACTAATACAGCTGCATATAGTTAGGTCTTGTTTTCTTTATCTATTCATCCACTCTGTATTTTTTGATTGATTAGATAACTTAATTCATTTACATTAAAGTCATTATTGATAGACAATACTTACTACTGCCTTTTTATTGATTGTTTTCTGACTGTTTTATAGTTGGTGTCTTGCTCTCTTGCTGTCTTTGTGATTAGATAATTTTTTGTAGTTGTATTATTTGATTCCTTTGTCTTTATCTTTTGTGTGTCTACTATGGGTTTTCTTTTCTTTGTGATTACCATATGGTTACATAAAACATCTTATAGTTATAATCGTCTATTTTACAATGATAACAACTTAACTTTGCATACAAAATGTCTATATTTTAACTTCTTTCCCCACAGGTTATGTTGTTGATGTCACAATTTACTTATTATTATTTTTTTCTTTTTGAGATGGAGTCTTTCTCTGTTGCCTAGGCTGGAGTGACATGGCATGATCTCGGCTCACTGCAACCTCCGCCTCCAGGGTTCAAGTGATTCTAGCACCTTAGCCTCCCCAGTAGCTGGGATTACAGGCACCTGCCACCACACCTGGCTAATTTTTTTGTGTATTTTTAGTAGAGACGGGATTTCACCATGTTGACCAGGCTGATCTCGAATTCCTGACCTCAAGAGATCTGCCCGCCTTGGCCTCCCAAAGTTCTGGGATTATAGGCATGAGCCACTGTGCCTGGCTTAATTTACTTATTTTTATATTGTATTTACATTAATAAATCATTATAGCTATAGTTATTTTTAATAATTTTGTCTTTTCTACTAGAGTTACAAGTGATTTACACACCATTACAGTATTAGAGTGTTCTGAATTTGACTATATTCTTACTTTTACAGAGGATTTTATACTTTCTATATTTTCTTATTGTTACATAGCAGTCTTTTGTTTCAACTTGAAGAACTCAAATTTAGCACTTCTTCCAAGCAGTCTACAGTTAACAAATTGTCTGAGTTTTGGTTTGCCTGGAACAATCCTTATCTTTCTCTTCATTCCTGACAGGCTTGTCAGATATAGTACTCTTAATTTTGATGGTTATTTTTTTCCTTTCATTCTTTTGAATTGAATATATCCCTTCACTCTATCCTTTAGCACAGTTACCTTCTGAAATTTTCTGTTTATTGTCTTATGAGGATTTTCTTGTATGGGATAAGTTACTGTTTCCTTGCTGCTTTCAAATTTTCTCTTTGTCTTTTACTTTTGAGAATTTTATTATAATGATTTTTGGTGAAGATATATTTATGATTAATCTACTTAGTGTTCTTTGCACTTCATGGATCTGTATTTTTTTTACCCTCTCCAGATTTGGGAAATTTTCTGTAATTTTATTAAAAGTAAGCTAATGTTCCATCTTTTTTCCTCCCCCTTCTGAGACTTCTATAATGTATATGTTGGTTTGCATTATGGTGTTCCATATATTCCAAAAAGTTTTTCACTTTTTTTCTTCTTCTTTTTTTCTTTTTGTTCATCTGACTTAGTTTTTTCAAGTAATATCTCTTTGAGCTCATTGATTCTTTTCTCTGCCTGACCAAGCTTCCTATTGAGGTTTTCTATAAAATATTTTAGTTCATTGTGCTCCTCAGTTCTGGAATTTCTGTGTCTTTTTATGGTTTCTAGCTATTTGTAAAACTTCACATTTCTTTTAACTGTTTAGTTGTCTATCCATGTTCTCTTGTATCTCATTGAACATTGTTAAGATGCTTGTATTGAATTGTTTGTCAGAAAATCTTTTGATCTTCATTACTTTAGGGTAACTTACCAGTGCTTTATTTTATCCCTTTGGTTGTGTCATGTTTCTCCAACTTTTTTGGTAATTTTTATAACCTTGTCTTGATGTCTGCACATTTGAAGGAGTAGGTACCTTTTCTCATCTTAACAAACTAATTTTGGCAGAAAAAATCCCTTCACCAGTAAGCCTATCCAGAGATTCTGGATGGGTCAGTTAGTAGAGTTCACATGCACACCTGCTACTGGAGTGCTCAGGTAGGCTGGCCTGGTGTGTGGGTCAACTCTTGGGCAGATTCATCACCTGGGTCCAAAGGGCCCAGTCTGATGCTTGAGTCCCCTGTGGTAGGCCTGGAGCTTTGGTTTGTGTGAGCAGGCCTGAAGTCTTGTGGCACAAATGTGGGCCTAGAGCTTGGATCTGCAAATGTTGGCCTGGATCATGGATCTGTGGGGGACATATTAAAGCCTGGGTCCATGGAGGCTGAACTAGCATTGTCATCATTCATGGGCTTGTCTTGCACTTAGATCCATTGGCCTGAAATTGGGGTGGGCCTAGAGCTTGAGTCCATGAGGGTGAGCCTGGGTTCATAAAGGCTGGCCTGAAGCTGGGGACAATGGAGGCTGGCTTATGCTGGGGTCTTTGATGAAGTTGTGTGCTCATTTCACTCTCCTTCCCCAATGGAGAAGGTATCTCTTTCTGCATTGTGCTATGTGGATTTCAGGGAGGCGTGGCACAGATAATGTGAAACTATCTTTTCTACTCTCTTCAACACATATTTTCATACTTCTGTACTCTAAACAAGTGCTGTAATCTCTCATCTGATTTCCTTAGCTTTATGAAGGTATTTTAGTGCATGGCTGGTTGTTCATTTGATGGCTTTGTGAAGAAACAAGTCCTGGAAGCTTTTATTCTGCCATCTGCTGATGTCACTACTCTCCAGATAAATCTGCAATGTGCTAATCAAAATCACCTTTGTATTTGGGAAGCATTGATCTGGAGCTGTATCATAGAACAGCTCTGCCTCTAAATCCTGAATGATGAGGAATATAATAAGATTGCAATTGGATTAACTGCTTTCAAGAACATTCTAAATGAGGTGTTCCTTTTCCTCCTGATTGACATCAGGGAAAAAGGTTTTTGCTTTTAAGAATGTCTTAATCTGACCAGGCACGGTGGCTCACGCCTGTAATCCCAGCACTTTGGGAGGCCAAGGCAGGCAGATCACGAGGTCAGGAGATTGAGACCATCCTGGCTAACATGGTGAAACCCCATCTCTACTAAAAATACAAAAAATTAGCCGGGCGTGGTGGCGGGTGCCTGTAGTCCCAGCTACTCGGGAGGCTGAGGCAGGAGAATGGCGTGAAGGCGGAGCTTGCAGTGAGCAGAGATCTCGCCACTGCACTCCAGCCTGGGCGACAAAGCAAGACTGTGTCTCAGAAAAAAAAAAAAAAAAAAAAAAAAGAATGTCTTAATCTAATATTGAGAGAGATTGATTGCCAAATAAAAGCGCCTACTTTTCTAGCCCTCTCTTTGTCTATGCCCTTGGCAGGTAATTTTGTCTCATTTTCTTCAAGTGATGTAATTCCACCACACTCACTAAAACTGGACTGGTTTTGTGACTTTCTTTGGTCAACAAAATGAAACAGAAATAAAAATGTACCAGTCCAGAACCTAGGCTTCAATAGGCTTTGCATAGACCTGACTCTGTATGGAAACACCCCCAGGCTAGTCTGATAGAGATTGAGAAACTCTAAGAAACAGTGTTATTAATCCTAGGCAAGGTTCAAAGTGACCTGCAAGGTGACTACAGATACATGACAAAATCCAGTTGAAATCACTCAGTCTTGACCCTTATCAGCAGAGCTACCTAGCCAATCTGTAGAGTTGTAAAAAATCACTCATTTTTGTTGTTTTAAAACATTAAGTTTTGAAGAGTTTTGTTATGCCATAGTAGTTAGCTGATAAAAATGTCTTTAGAGTGATAACTTATATACAGAGTACACAGTACAATTTGAATGTCACTGAGATAAGGGTGTTACTCCTAATTATATCTTCCACTGGGGTCTGCAATGATTATTTGGATTACACTTATCACTCACCTGTCTGCCCCTTGTGACTAATCTGAAGGAAAAAAAAAAGAATGCTAATTTGGAATTTCTATATTTGTCATTATGACCCATTAAAATTAGTGGAGAAAAATGAGTCCATCTTTACTATCATATCTCTGTAGTACTTGGCATATAATTGGTACTCAGTTATCTTGGAAAACATTCTAGTTAGATCATGTCCAAATACTTTTCTAAGAGACTTTCCAAAGACCCTCTTTTCCTTCTCGCCTCCAAGTTCGTTGTTAAACTACATTTTATTTGTTTAATAAAATGTACTCCCTGTGGAACAACTTGGATTGCAGAGCTCTTCCAGAAGGTGCTGACTTCAGCTCTGTATTTGTTCTCTTTCTTCAGAACCACGCCCTTTGGAGCTCTGATTTGGGCAAGCTGACAAAGACCTGTTTGCCATATACCTCTGATGCTGAGAAGCACTACCCCTTGGCCTCTTTGAGCTCTGATTAGCCTTCCTCCATGAATGTGTTGGATTAGACAGAAGAGGAGTTTAAGAATTAAATATCCACTTCAATTTTGGTTTTGGTAGGATAGCAGTCAGAAACATTGCCTTGTATTGTTCAGAAATATATACTTCTGATAATGTTTGGGCCTTTCAAAACAGGACCAGTTATAGGAGAAAAATTATAATTCAAAGGGAAGGCATGAAATTGTATTGGGATTCAGTATGTTATTTAATGCTGGTGAACAGGACTGAATCCAAGAAATTACAGAAATAGTTTGAATATTTCTCGTTAGCTTGGAAACACGGCTAGTTATAAATTGGTATTTTGTTTAACTTGGAGATACAGACCTCTCTAAACTCATTTGTTATGGTCTTGCTTGCATTTCACTGAGCAAAGTCAGTCAAACAACATGGATTAACTGTGCTACACCATATACTTTGTCTTGGGTTTAGTGATGGAGATAATACCAGAAATAAAAGATAGAGTTGTTACTCTTGTGAAGGTTACATCTAAGCAAGGAGACAAGAACAATGCATGTAGAAAGTTAATTTTCACTTCTACTTCCATGGAATTATGCATTTGACAATGCTTTTTCTTATGAGTAGCTTGATTTGCTTTCAAAGAGATCCTAGCTTGGGGACACATACCAATTCAGTGATGCAGGCCATGAATGAGTGATATAGAGGAATCTAACAGTAAAAATAGGGTTTCTAGATGTCTCCTAATAATTTCTGCTGTTACAGAGAAGTCAGCAGAAAGCAAATGTGACAAAGTCAGTGATGGCAATGCCTAAAAGAAAACCTGGTCACCTGTGTGCTTCCCCACTTGACTTGAGTACAGCTGGCTTTGCTGGCAATCTAAAGGGAAAAGACACCGGGCGCGGTGGCTCACGCCTGTAATCCCAGCACATTGGGAGGCCGAAGCGGGCAGATCACAAGGTCAGGAGTTTGAGACCAGCCTGGCCAACATGGGGAAATCCTGTCTCTACTAAAAATACAAAAATTAGCTGGGCGTGGTGGCAGGCGCATGTAATCACAGCTACTCAGGAGGCTGAGGCAGGAGAATCGTTTGAACCCAGGAGGCAGAGGTTGCAGTGAGCCAAGATTGTGCCATTGCACTCCAGCCTGGGTGGCAGGGTGAGACTCTATCTCAAAAAAAAAAAAAAAAAGGAAAAGAATGGGCTCAAGAAGAGCTATATAATAACTGCGCCCCTACCTTCCCCATCAGTTCCATTCCAGAAACATGTCAATGGTTTATTATTGTTTTTTGTCTAGTTTTGTTTTGTTATAAAAAGGGTCTCACTCTGTTACCCAGGCTAGAGTGCAGTGGCATAATCATAGATCATTGCAGCCTCAAACTCCTAGGCTCAAGAAATCCTCCTGCCTCAGCCTCCTGAGCAGCTAGGATCGCAGGCACATACCACCACAACAGGCTAATTATTTTATTTTCATAGAGATGGGGTATTACTATTTTGCCAAGACCGGTCTCAAACTCCTGGCCTCAAGCGATTCTCCTGTGTCAGCCTCCCAAAGTACTGGGATTACAAGCATGAGCTACTGTGCTTGGCCTATTGTCTCTAGTTTTATGGTTACATTTTCTTCTATATAAATACTGGCTAAAACAAAGCTATTAACAGATACAGGCTTATACACTGCAGAGAAAAGTTGAATTTTGCTTTGTAGATTTAGAAGGATCGTTTTATTCTTGATAAGGATCAACCTTATTTATAAGCTTACTTGATGGTTACCTAGGTGTCCTAGCTGTAGAGAGAACAGGAAGGCACTCTTTATCCCTAAATACTTTAAGTTTTATCAGAGGCAAGGATTCCTGTCTGTTCCTTTTGTAGCATTGTAACTTTCCTGTTTTTACGCTTTTTCCATCAGTTAACCCAGAAGAGGCTATGTAGAAGAAGGGCAAGATCCATGTTGTTTTCTGACTTAGCTCACTGGAATGCAGGCAAGAACATTACAAATCAATTTAGAAAGGTCTGTGGCTACAACTCAGGCAAAATATTAGTTTTTAACTAGCTGTGTCTCTGGGATGATGATGAACGTCAGGCCTGTTTCTATCATTCCTGGGATTCAGTCTTGATCAGAGACATTATACAACACACAGAGATGGATTTTGCTGTGGTCCCTGTTTTTAAAGATTTCACAGGCTAGTAAAGTAGAAATTTATTTAAATAAAGAATTACATATTTTATCTGTCTTATAGCTCTATCAAAAGTCATAAGCAAACCCCTTCAGTGCCAAGGAAGTAAAAGTAAGCTAACTAGTAGTAAAATGATAGAGTGTTGTGATAAAATTGTGCTTTATAATTTTATAGTAGTATAATTCCACAATCCTCTATCACAACACTCTACTATTAAATAGTAGTAAAATGATAGTGTTGTGATAGATGATTGTGATAAAATGTAAGTGAGCAAGCCCTGTCTGAAGACTTCAAATTTACAATTAGTTTAATATATACTTTAGCTACCAATATACTGTTTGCCACCTGCCTAGGTTATGATATCAGGAACCTTTACTTCACTAGAAGAAAATAGGCTATTCCAATTAACAAGAGAGTTTCTATTTCAGAAAAGTAAAATCGTGTTGATACCTGCACTAAGTGTAATTAATCTGACTTTGTAGTAATTAAATGTAGTTAAAATATATTGTGAAATGTCCATATCATAGAACTAGTAGGTAGCCATCAAAATTATATTTTCAAAGAATATATAATGGTGTAAAAATTATCACAATATGAAAATTGAAAAGATCCTGGTAAAACTCACTCTACATATTACAATTCTAATACATAAACATGCTCATGGGAAATGAATTACTAAGAAAATAAATGAAAATATTAGGCTTGTTTTTCTCTGGGTGCTAAGTTAGTGAATCTTCTTTATTTTCTTCTTCATGTTATTTCACAGTTCTGCAATAAACTATAAAGTAGAAAAAGTTGTAATTATATTTTAATTACAATTAAATTTGAAGGTATGCTAAATATCAAGAATAAACACTGGAATTTCAGATAAGTAGGGTAAAATAATATATGGTAGAAAAAAGATGCATCCTCCTACCTCAACATGTACAGACAATATTTATCGATGCATATAGACAAATCTTGTTTCAATACTGTTTCTGTTTTTGTTTTGATCCTCTGCTTGGTGGCTTATTCTAAAATATATGGAAACTAGCAGAATATAATTCCAGTTTTATTATCAACTTTTTTTTCTTTTTTCTTCTTTTTTTTTTTTTTGAGACGGAGTCTCGCTCTGTTGCCCAGGCTGGAGTGCAGTGGCATGATCTCAGCTCACTGCAAGCTCTGCCTCCCAGGTTCACGCCATTCTCCTGCTTCAGCCTCCCAAGTAGCTGGGACTACAGGCACCCACCACCACGCTTGGCTAATATTTTTGTATTTTTAGTAGAGACGGGGTTTCACTGTATTAGCAAGGATGGTCTTGATCTCCTGACCCAGTGATCTGCCCACCTCGGCCTCCCAAAGTGCTGGGATTACAGGCATGAGCCACCATGCCCGGCCCTTATTAACAACTTTTAAAAAAGATTTGCCAAACACTTTCTTCTCTGTGTAATGTTACACCTTGCCTTAGGTAGTAAATATATTCCTGAAGACATATATGTGTGTGCATTGCAGAATGCCCTGCAAGAATACAACTATCTTTAGTTGAGTATCTAACTATTAACCAAATATTGTGTAGGTGTTTTCTGAATATAATTTTACTTAATCTACACAATAACTAAACAAATTAGATACCGTGTTCCATATTTTTAAAAATATAAGACTGAGACTCATAGAATAAAATGATTTGCTCATGAAAGTTTACACAGTTTAAGAGTAGCAGAGCTGGACCTCAGATTTACTATTCTCTAATCACAATCTTTACTTCATCTATTATATTCTTTTGGTCTAAGGTTTGCAACCCAACTTCTCAACATTTTTTTTATCTGTAATGTAAAAAGATAAGATAAAACCACAGGACCCTTTCTGTTTTGAAATTTTATTAATTTAATTCAAAACCAACTTCTTAAAGCTGTTATCAGGATTCTGTACAAGTGCTTTATAAAGGGAGAAAAGTGTGATACAAAGTCAAGTTATTATTTTATTAAATCAATTCTCATTTTTCTATTGACTCACGTTACAAATTCAGAGATACTTTGTCATCCTAGCTAACAGATCTTCAACAGTCAGTTGCTCCTAAAGGTGTATCTCTAAGTTTCTTAGGCCAGAAGTCTCCATGTAGGTAAGCAAATGTACACACAAGTGTTTTGTGTTTGTGTAGAAGTATGTGTATTGAGATGCAAAAGACTAGAAAATTAAACAATCTTTTTTGTAAAAAGAATAGACAGCATCTAACTGAGTTTTCATATATGAATTATTTGGTTGTTTTTATAAATAGGGCCTACTTGAAGTAGCATGGATTACAAAGGGAGAAATCAGCCTTAGGTAAATGAAATGTAACTTCTTTACTTCAAGATTCTTCAGGTTGTTTTATTTCTTATCATTGGACAACTACTATGAGAAATCTACATTCATTTTGGGTTTCTGTCTGGAATTTAAAGCAGATTTTCAATGATTTAATTAAAAAGGAATAACCTTTTCATAGATTTTCCCTACCCTTCTCCAAATTCTGCCTCCCACAATGTTAACCCAATTATAGAATACGAAAAGCCTTTCACTACTGAATTTGTTGTGCTAATTGAGCACAGAATGCTCTCTTGCCTCTGTAAATGGCTTACATATGCAATCTCCAATTCAGTAGTTTTAAATTAAAGAATACATATGAAAATATAAGAAGAGAGTTTTCTTCATTGTGGACTACATATGTATGTGCATGTATGTATCATCACCACCACTTCCCAAATAAAGTAAACAAAAAGTACATACACAACTAAAAATAAACGAATTTTATATCTCTGGATATTTGCAGTTAATTTGATTTTGTTTGATTCATTTGTGTTAATTATATGTACAATTTTTCAGTCTAAAGTTATACTGAATTGGAAGAAAACCAGCATAGAAAGTAAGAGTTGTGTTTGGATTTTGTGACTTCTTTTGTGTTAACTACATTGCAATTTAGGTATATACATATATACGTATATATATGTATATATACGTATATATACATATATCATTGGACAACTACATATATACAACATATATATACACACACATATGTATATACATATATATGTATGTATATATAGAGAGAGAGATACATTCTAGGAAAATCACTTAATCTGTTGTTCATATAGTTATATTATGTAGCAATGTTTACTGTGACAGTTTTCAAAAACTGAAGAAAGATCCAGACAAAAACATTCAGAATTGGCAGTTGAAAGTAAGTAACCTCTTAATAAATACCAGGTCAATAATAGAATGCTGTAGCATAAGTTCTATGTTAAGTTAATATGGATTTTATTATTATACATTTCAGACATGTGTAAATCATTGATATGGTTAGGCTTTGTGTCTCTCCTCCCAAATCTCATCTTGAATTATAATCTCCATGATCCCCACATGTCAAGGAACAGACCAGGTGGAGATAATTGAATTATGGGGGCAGTTTCCCCCATGCTGTTCTCATGATAGTGAGTTCTCATGAGATCTGATGGTTTTATAAGTTTTTGGTTTCTCTCATGAGATCTGATGGTTTTATAAGAGTTTGGTTTCTCTTCCTGTGTTCATTCTCCTTCTTGCCACCTTGTGAAGAAGGTGCCTTGCTTCTCCTTCATCTTCTGCCATGATTGTAAGACTCCTGAGGTCTCCCCAGCCATGCCGAACTGTGAGTCAATTAAACATTTTTCCTACCAGTCGGGTGTGGTGGCTCATGCCTGTAATCCCAGCACTTTGGTAGGCTGAGTTGGACGGATCACAAGGTCAGAAGTTCGAGACCAGCCTGGCCAACATGGTGAAACCGCGTCTCTACTAAAAATACAAAAAAAAAAAAAAAAAAGAAAAAAATTAGCCAGGAGTGGTGGCAGGCACCTGTAATCACAGCTACTCGGGAGGCTGATGCAGGAGAATCACCTGAACCCGGAGGCGGAGGTTACAGTGAGCTGAGATCATGCTACTGCACTCCAGCCTGGGCGACAGAACGAGACTCCGTCTCAAAAATCAAATAGACAAACAAACAACAACACAGAAAAAACCTTTTTTCCCAGTCTCGGGCAGTTCTTTATATTAGTAGCAGTGTGAAAATGGACTATTACAGTAAACTGGTACTGAGGTAATGGAGAACTGCTATAAAGATACCCCCAAACATGCATCTTCGGAAACGGGTAATGGGCAGAGGTTGGAACAGTTTGGAGGGGTCAGAAAAATATAGGAAGATGTGGGAAAGTTTGGAACTTTCTGGAGAGTTATTGAATGGTTTTGACCAAAATATTGATACTGATACAGACAGACATAGCCAGGCAGATGTAGCCTCAGATGGAAATGAGTAACTTTTTGGCAACTGCAGCAAAGGTCACTTTTGCTATGCTTTAGCATAGAGATTGGCGGCATTTTGCCCCTGCCCTAGAGATCTGTGGAACTTTGAACTTCAGAGAGATGATTTAGTGTATCTGGCAGAAGAAATTTCTAAGCAGCAAAGCATTCAAGAGGTGAACTTAGTGCTCTTAAAAGCATTAACTTTTATACATTCACAAGCTATAATGATGTTTATTTAACTTTTCAATCTGCTGCTTGAAGCAATAAATAGTTTAAACAAAATGAACTCAGGAGTAAATTATTATATTCCTAGATACAAACACTGTTGAATAAAACATATTGAGGATTTAGGATAACGTATTTTTCTAACCTATTGATCCACATTGACCATATTTACAAGAAAATAATTATTTGCTCTCATAGAAGGCTCTGTTACTCTTACATGAATTGATTTCCTTGCAAACATCTGAAAATTTTGTTATTCATATAAGGAATGGTGAGCTTTACTGACATTTGGATTGAGGCCTATTTAAAGTCCCTCTTCTCTTGGCCATTGTATAAACTTGTTTGCATCTTTTAATCTAAAAAAATTCAAGTATTGTCAAATAAGAGGACTTTGAGGAAATCCATATTAAAAACATTCAACATATTCAAAATTATAAGGTCTATAGTCAGTAATACCAAGTGAGGCTAAAAATAGTCAAGCTAGTTTCCCTATGGAAACAAGTGAAAGGAGTTATTTTTGTATTGGCAAGGTATTATTGTTAGTTTCATAACAACTCAGAGGGGCTTTAATGGTTCCATTCAATCTTAAGTCACCATCACTTCCCAAATAAAGTAAACAAAAACTACAAGCACAACTAAAAATAAAAGGGTTTGATATCTCTGGATATTTGCAGTTAATTTGATTTTTTTATTCATTTGTGTTACCTATATGTATAATTTTTTCAGTCTAAAGTTGTACTGTATTGGAAGAAAACCACCACAGAAAATAAGCGCTGTGTTTGGACTTTGTGGCTTCCTTTGGGGTAACTACATTGCAACTAGTTTATATTTTAGCTCCTCTCATAATCAAACAATTTAGCCCTCCTTTGGAAATGACTTTAGTATATTTCAGAAGAAGTCTTGAGACCATAGTCAAATGTTTCCCTAGCATGCAGTGTTAATCATGATACCATAATTCTGTTACAATTACACTCTTAACTGTAGTAATTGCAAGGATTAAAATGGCATTATAGATAAATAAACATACGGGAACTATTAAACCAAAAACCAAATAATCTTTTAAGCTTTTATTTGTTTTTTAATAACCACTACCTTTTAAAACATAAATCTATTTTTTTAAGATAGGGAGTCTGACTTAATCCAATCCCCCTATTGGATTACAAAATACAGTTCAACCGCTATTTTAGGAGATAAAGAGCAGATGCTCTATGAAGGAAGCTGAGAATTCTTAGAATGCTCTTCTAAGGAAGCTGGGAATTCACCTGGATAATCAACTTTGTGACCTCAAAGCTGCTTCACCACTTATGGGGTATTCAGCTAGGTGAGTCTCACACCTGTTGGTAATGATGAAAATGTGCTGGAATGTCTAAGATCCCATCGTGCTGACATTCTCAGTGGCACGTGCACAACATACCACGGAATTGAGGACAAAAGAAGAAGTATTGCTATAGTTGAGTTCCAGGTGTGAATGAGGAGATTTATGACACCCTATTAATTACAATTTCTCTAAGGCCTGGAATCTCTGCAGTAATTTACCTGAAGGACCTAACAGCACTACAGTGGTTTGCAAGAGTGACTGATATAGGAAAGCTTTGTTTCTGAGGTCATTGACCATACAGATAACTGTAGTTATTAACTCACATGCTATGCTTGTGTTTGGGGATATGGCTAAATAGCTGCTTCTCTGCTACATGTTCTCTGATTCTTCCTGATTTTTCAGTAGCTTCCATAAAGTAATCTTTGTTATAAATAAAAGTGGCCCATCTTTTCAAATCATCTGCTCTTTTTCCCACTGCTCTTCCACACTCTTTCCCTCTTAAGCTCAATATATGTACCATACACCCAATAAGCATACATACTCATAGCCCAGTAGATTATGTTTTTAAAGATGTATCATCATTATTTTTCTCTGTGCATTTTGAATTTGAAGGTAAAAAGCATCCACCTATTGGCAATTAGAAGTCAAACATTTTGGATTTTAAATAGAATATTATGCTGTTTATGTAAAAGACCTAGGAAAAGATCTTCTGACCCTGACACGGATGTTTGTTGTACTACAGTACCCGATCTCTTAAATAAGCTAAAGAGTGTGTTGAGTCAAGGGTTACTATAATCTGCTATAAATGGGTCATCAGATTTCTCAAATAATACAAAATGCTAAAATGTAAAAATCATAATTTAGTATTCTTAACAACTCAGCCACCCTCCCTTTGTTCATGCAATTCTGTCCATCAAGAATCTCTCCCTCCTATTCCTTATGCAGATTCTACCCCACATTCAAGATAATTTCAAATTTCACTTATCCCCTAAATGCTTTTGAATTGTTCTACATTAAAACACTGTTTTGTAGAGAGATTGTTGTCTGTATAATGTGCTATGTGTACTGCTTTATCACATCTTGTTATCTTGAACTATTAATTTAAATTTTGTATTATGAAATATTTTATTCATTTATGGTTTTTGCCCTCATTAGACTATACACATTTTTTAAAAGAGGACTAATTATTAACGGTCATTCATATGTATTTTTAGGTACAGTTTCTATTTCATTTCATTTTTTCTTTTAAAATAAAATCAGTTTTTAAATGCTTATGAGATTTAGTAGTGAGATATTAACATTTAAAGAATGCTTACTATGTGTCGGGTACCATGCTCAAGGTTTTCTAAGTGTTATCTCAGCTTCATATTAAAATGTCTAGTCTGATGTATATACTTCATATATCATAGAATGCATTAGATATCTATATCACTATATAGTAGTATTTAAGGGTCAAGATTTAAAGCCAAACATTCCTAAGTAAAATGCTTGTTGTGTTTCTTACTTGATCAGGTAATTTATACTTACTTATAGGTATACTAAATTGCATAATGCACATAAGATGAGCAGATTGACAAAAATATATTCTATAGCATTAATAAGTAGTAGCTGATTTTTAAAATAACTATTTTTGAGCCAATTCAACAACTCAGGATCATCACTTAGAGCATTGATTCTTACTTTAGTGGGTCATGGGTTTTAAGATGGAGATTAAATTCTTAACTTGAAAAAATTTTAGTGGCTACTTGGTGAGTATATGGGAACATAAATCCTGAATATCAGCTTCTACATACTTATATGTCTCTTTCTCAGAAAACAACATATTTGCCTGCTATAAAAGCAATTTTGATTATCTCTCAAGTGGGGCCTCCCTGCCATTAAAAATGTTTTTTGAACTGTGATTTTTAAATGTTCTTCAGTTTCCCAAACACTGCAGCAGTATTATTTCCAAAAACCACACTTCACAACATCAATGAGCACACTTAACTAGAGAAGATAAGTGGAAGGCTCTGAAAGTAGCATATAGATGATTTAATTACCTGACAAAAATAATAAAATAAAAATAATTAGCAGTCTTTTAGACTTTCGGTTTCTTAAAATTATTTTGTTTAATTCACCTCCCCCTCTCCTTGCCAAATATTACTGCAAGGAATATAGACTATAAGACTGGCCCACGTTTCAGGGGTGTGTGTGTGTTTGTGTGTGTGTGTGTGTGTGTGAGAGAGAGAGAGAGAAAGAAATAATCCTACCATGTAGTTCATTTTACTATGTAATGCCTTTGCTTTCATCTATGGGGACAAGTGACACCCGAATATTTCTGGTCACTTGGCAGATCAAAGAAAAGAAAAACAACACAGAGACTGAAATGTCAAATGTCCGCTTTTTCCCCTCACATATGTATTTCAAAACAAAAACAGGCTTTCAAAGTAGGGGAATTTGGTAAGTTTCATGCGTACTGTAGCTACCCTGTTTCAGGCTTTTGTTTAGATTGGTTCCAAATGCTTCACTGACAGACGTGGGGCACATCCAAATACTTGCTTCAGGATAACGTTATTTACACTAAAGTTTGACCCACAAGGGCAACAGAGCAGCTAAGTACCCTGAGTAATACAAACAGACAGCTCTACTTTACTCCAGATCATATAGATTAAAAAAGTTTCTGATAACTTCAAAGCTTCCTTCCCACAGCATGTACGCTACTTTTCATGAGAATAGGAATTTGAAACCTACACCCTTCATATTAAAATATAAGGAAAAGGAACCTTAGCATTTGGTCTCTATCTCAAAGACCTTCCAAAATTGGCCACATACCATTATTTATTATGGTTATAGACCAAAAAGGTCATCCAATGTGAAGGAACCAGACTCATTATTGCACTGAAAACTCAGTTTTTAAAAGGGTTTTAGAGTTAGACTACAGGAAGGAAGAATTTATTCCGTCAGCCATATATGTGTTCATGAAGTATGAATATGTTTGTGTAACATGCCTTTTAATGTATGCGTTTGCTCCCACTCCCCTACACATTTTGGTTCAGGAAGTGTGCAGATTGTAAGAACATTGTCTCAGTTCCTCTTGGTTTTGTTTAAATACAAATCTGAGTTAATCATAAGTTTTCATGTGTAGTGTTTTAACAAAAATTTCAGGGAGGGCTGGTAGTTGCCAGGACATAAATTCAATTTTTAATTGTTGATGTAATGCGGGATTTTAGAGAAAAGCTTCACTGAGCATGGAACATTTAAACATTACACTTGAATCACATATCTCAATATAATATCATTTAAGCCTAATTTCATGTTAAAAGGGATATTTCTTTAAAATAATATTCAATACAACAATTTTCTAGTGTATGAAAAGAATTAGTCTCCTTTTGCAATTGAACTCTTAACACAAAACCTTTCTTTCCATTCATCCTCTGTCTCCTTTTATAGTAATATTATTTTCCTTATTATTCAAGTGAAAAAAAAAAGCCTTGAATTTGGAAGGGAAGAACTCCCCAACACAAACTCACTATTTGCAAACGAGCCTTCATACCATTGCACTGAGAAAATGCTTGCCTTTTATGCCATACATGTGATTCAAAGTCTTTGACAAAACTAAGTACATTTTAGCAGTTGTCAATAACTACAATGTGTACCTCCTCACTGAAGACAAACCTATAATTTGGTAGTAGGAGATATGGAAATATTGTAAACCATGGTGTTCTTTCTTTTCTTTCGTTCTTTTTTTTTTTTTACCTGTGGCAGCAATAACCTTGGAATTATAGCTGTGTCATTGATCTGCATTACTGCTTATTTCACCATGAAAATTATTTTTTATAGGCTCAAAGGAAAGTAACACTAATGTGAAGTTCAATCTGAGACAAATAAGAGGATGCTTAATAAACAGGGTAAATTAATACTAACTTTTTATTTTGGAACTTTGGGTGAGAATAAAGTTGTTATATATCTATATCTGAAACAGGAGAAAAGTAAAAATGAAGGAATATTCCCATATGGCTAAAGGCAGAAGAACTGCTTATGTCCAAGCCCAGTGCCCTTTCCTTTGTATGACAGTTGTCTGACAAGTATACTGTAGCATTGCTTAGGAGTGAAAACTTTCCTACTTGCTTGAGATAACAAAGTACCGCGTTGATTTCTGTCTCAGAGACAAAGCTGAAGAAGAATGTTGAACCAAAGCAATACTAAAGAAATATTTGAAACGTAAAATTACGCTCATTTTAGTTCAGTAAGAGTTGCAAATCTACCCACATGGAAAAGTTTAACTTCTTTCTTTTTAGAAAGGGAATAACAACAAAATACAAATGCTACTGTCCATTGGAAGCAACCCTGAGAAACCTGCCAAAGCCAATCTTTAAATGAAATTTGAGATTATTTTTCTCTTCCTTAGAGGAGCTAAAGTGGAGGAAATTTTTTATATTTATATACCTTTTGCATGAGAAATAGGGAAAATACAACTTGCTGCCTCTTCTCCTCTGAAGATCTAATTTATTTTAATGACACAGAATAGTGGATGGATTTATATGTAAAGATAACAAAATATATTCACTTTATTTCTAGTTGCAAACACAGAGACCCTTCACTCTACTAAAACGTATAACCAAATAGTAAATTCATAAAGGGAGATCGTTTCTTCCACTTAAAAGAGATTTCTGAGCCTTTTCCTCTCAAAGTTACTGCTTGCTATTAGAAGGAAAATAAAATTTAGAATGTTCGATACCAAAATATTAACACTGAGTACATTTATGTGCTTCTTTGTATTGGTACTTATCTGAGCTTCATGAATGTTCTACAATATTTTAGTGTGAAGAGCAAAAGTTATTTTATAATTGCAGATTTGGTATTATCATATGTTAATTTTCTTTCATTATCATGCACTAATTGAACCTTTAAAAATTGACCATTTTAATTCACAATTCTGAGAATAGCGAGGCAGATAGATATTAAGTGGAGAGGCAAATTTTTAGTTATTCTTCCATTTATTCTTTCTAAAATACTTGAACATCTCCAATGTACATGTCACTACGTGAGGTGCTGTATGAAAGGCAAAGTTGAAGACAGCATTGTCTCTGATACTGAAGAAGCAAAAACACTACTAAATGTTTTTACAAAACTACAATAGTTATATGTGATGAGTGGTTGTGGTGTAGTTTCAGTGTTGTAAAAGTAAGCTATGAATAGTTGATGAGAAGTTTGAATTTTTTCTTGTAGGTAAAAAAGGACGTAAAGTTTTTAAACAAGGGATATGATCAAAATGGTGCTTCCGAAAGATGCAATTTCTTGACCTGTTTGTAGTACTGCATTAGAACAGGAGGGAGTCTAGAAGCAAAGAGCAATTTAGGAGGCAATTGCAATGAGAGGCACCAGAATTACAATGGTGGTGTCAGTGTGCAAACACTGGGAAAGAAAAATCAACCAATTTCAGTGCTTAGTACTGCTGTGGAATGGAACTAGAGCAGGAAAGGAGGAGGTGCTGGCTGGCCACAGAGAGGACTGAACAAAACAGTTTCTGAAGTTGTTAACCTTGAAAGAATGGGGAAACATACACTGACATCAGCAATATAAAAATTCAATGCCTTCATAAACGCTTAGGGCTGGTGATGAGTTTTAGTTTTAGCAGGAAACTTTACATTTAGAGGAAGGAAAAATAAATTCAAGAAATGTTGTGACTTGGCAATGTAATTTAACAAAAGGGCCCAGGCTAAGGGATTAGGAGCCTAGGGTCATATTCTGAGCCCTATCACTAACTACTTCTCTGTGCCTCCCTTTCTCTGTCAGCGGACTGAATGTAACCATACTTCTCTCACAGGGATATTCACTGTGAGGTGGGGCAAGTGATTAGGCCCCCTCAGAAGGAAGTAGACATAGAAATTCTAGCTTCATTATGTTCTGTTCAATAATAACCGAGTCACAGGGAAACAATGGCAGCGGTTGAAACATCTGAGAAGCGGTGCCTAGAGGAAAGAGAATAGGACTCTTTTGTGAGAAAAAAAAAAAACCTCTGGTCTTTTGAAGAGGAGAGAGGGAAGAGTAAAATCAAAAGGGCTCCTTAGTGCCCTTTTGGTGATCTTGAGGTCTGAAATAGTTAATGTATGTCTATAAGCACCTTTGTTTTACATTTTATTCCCTAGGCTGGTTAGACTCAGAATATTACAGGAGGCTAACTCATATTCAAGAATACCTGAAGCAGGGGTGGGAATAAAAAGTGGAAAATGTAATTATATGATTTTTGAAAATAGACTTCTGTGAGGTTTGCTTGAATGTGTTCTCCTAATACAACTGGGCTTATTTTGTTTTCTATTTATAATCCCACTTTAATTTTTGTTATTGGTACCAAAAATATTTTCGTTTCTGCAATATTATTTAAATATACAATGCATTTCAAATAAGCAAAATCCTCTGGAAAAGAAAAAAAAATGTACAAAGAGCAAAAACAGCTACTAGGACTGGAATTCTTTCTCACATTTCTTTTACCATAAATTTATACTCCAGTGTGATTTTTGCAAAGCAAAAGCAGGCTAGTAAATTATAGACCTGATCAAGAGGAAAACGTGCTCACAGATTTGATCCAAAAGATGCCAATTTAACTGGTGTTTCTTTTTAAAATAGTTTCCCATTAAACTCACATCCTGCCTTTTAATAATCAGATCACTCAATCATTACAGTTTACTGAAATACAGAGAAATTCTAGAGGAAAATGTGATTTCTGAATAAGAGCCGTCAAGTCAGAGTGATTGAGAAATCCAGATGAGCACTGTATTCTCATCGGCTTGTTTCTCATGGTGCAGAGGAGAAAGCTGGAAGATGGCAACTTACATGTTCATGACCGAATTATCAGATAACAACCCAATATAAAACTCAAAAATAAATCCACAGCATAAACTGAGGAAACTGAAGCTTGTTCACTTTAAAAACCAAAATGATTGAGAATAATGTATTAAAATTCAAATGAGAGACTACCTGAAGAGCCAAGATGGGGATACAGATCAGAAAGTCTCTCACCGAAAGCATTAGAATGAGTATTAAAAAGATAATTTGCACAAAGGATTAAAAAGGACACTAATTGAGTTTTTGAAAGTGTGAAATGCATGTAAAGAATGAACACAGAAGTCACTCAACAACAACAAAAAAGTCTTTTTAGATGAAGCTGGTTTTGTTTTGCTTCATTTTTTTTCCGACTGCCATTTTGTTTTATTTTTTAGGCTCAAACATAAGCAAATTTGTCATAATCTTTCTTAGGATAATACATACAATAAATGCAACATATTTATTATCTTTCTTAGAATAATACATACGATACAGGCAAAATATGAAGACTGAAAGCAGCTTTGGTAGAACATTTCACTTTAACCCTTTTGAGTGGATTTTAAGAAAGAAAAGTCATTCAGTCCATTGTTGCCATTGTTGAGACTCATTTTATAACCTAAACGAAAACATTTACAGATTCAAAGTAAAGTCTCAGTTATAACCTCTGAGATGAAGGTGATTGTGATCAAAACAGACTCTCTCGCTATTCCCTCACACGACCATCAAAAAGTGACTTTACTGCATTTCTCTAATAAAATGGCACACTAGCATTTCAAAATAAACAGCTTTTTATTTCATAGGAAATGGTCACAATAAGCTTAAATTGAAGAGCTGCCCTGACTGAGCAGCCACGGTGCCAGCCACGGTGCCAGTCTCAGCCTACTCAGGAAGTTAGGCTCACCTCTTAGAATCTCACTATGATTTATACCTCTCTAAATAACTCCAGGACTCTGGCTCTTCTACTTAGGAACGTTTTAAAATTATTTCCCTTCCTCTGTCCTCTCACTTAGCAAACCTGCAAAATAGTGCAACCAGTTTAAATAGTGACCAAGGCTTCTGATGTTTTAGAAGTCTTTTAAACAGAAAAATGTTTTAAGTACTAATGGTAATTAAATAAGTGAAATCTGGTGCTAAAGAGTGTGTTTATTTTATCTGGTGATACGACTCTTGTGTATAGAGAGTGGTGGCTCCCCATTCCTGCACCCTTAGGTAGAGGGTAGAGTGGACTTATTTTAGGAACACAACTTGGGCCAAGGGAATGTGGTCCAGTTTCTCCCAGATAGTTTCCCAAGACTCCTTGGCATTCAAAATCCTGAGCAAATGCACATGTACATGCACACAAGTGTGCAGTGGAGTGGGTTAAGGGAAGTAATTTCATTTCAGCTGAGAGCCAGGCAATTTTTGTGCAATGGCAAGAAACAAGGAGGGAGCAAAGGACATTCACTTCCTTTACACAGTCCAGGAGACTGATGGTTTATTAACAGTGTTCCAGCCAGGCTGATCCAGGCTCAGAAGGGGAGCTACTCCCTCTAGGACCTTACTTATCTGAGTTTGGCAGAGGATGGGGGTACATATTAGAGAAACAGTGCTCCTTTAGGGCAAGGCTGAATAATAAAGTAAAAAATTAGTGTTTTTTAAAGCTGTTAGCCTCCCATTTATTTATTTATTTATTTATTTATTTATTTATTTATTTCAAGACAGGGTCTCACTCTGTCACCCAGGTTGGAGTCCAGTGGCATGATCTCGGCTCACTGCAACCTCCAACTCCTGGGTTCACTCCTGGGTTCAAGCAATTCTCGTGCCTCAGCCTCTTGAGTAGCTGGAATTACAGGCACACGCCGCCACGCCCAGCTAATTTGTGTGTGTGTGTAGGAGTGTGTGTGTGTGTGTGTGTGTGTGTGTGTGTGTTTTGGTAGAGAAGGAGTTTCACCATGTTGGCCAGGCTAGTCTTGAACTCCTGACCTCAACTGATCTGCCCTTCTCTGCCTCCCAAAATGCTAGGATAACAGGTGTGAGTCACTGAGCCCTGCCTAGCCTCCCATTTAAATGTCTATTTCTTACAGAAAGGGTCTTCCTCCCTCTTCTCTCATCCATGTCTCTCTTCTTTCTACTTGCTTCTCAATTAATTCCTATTATTTTAGTACTTGATCATAAGGGGTTATTGGTTACTAGGCAGGAATCTTTCCAGAGGATATAGGAAAGTGGAGGAAATTAAGTTCTAAAATGATGAGATATGGGTTGCACAGTTGTTATTTGTGCCCCACCCAAAACAAATCATATTTCAGAGGCATAACTGGCTGCTGACTTATTTATATGCAAGTCTGGTGGTCCTGTTTAAAACAATCCCTCTGAACCAGCACAGATTACCAACAGCTTGTAGATAAAAGAGGGGCTCAAATTCCTGCTAACTTAAGATGACTTGAACACTGACCTAAAAAATAAGGTATAGGCCTCCTTAACTTGGCTGTCACTCACAGAATAGCATTCATATGTCCATCTACTTGTAGACATGAGCCTAGGGATATCATTTTTGTGGAAATAAAACAAGAAATATACACAATAACTTAGATAGCTCTCCTAATAGTCAAGACCTCTGGCTTGCTGTTTGGTATATTTTGGGCATTGTATCCAGGCAGCGCCCTCAATCACTGACTTTGTGTCCATGCTTCTGGGACCAACGGTTCCATCAAAGCAAAATAGTTTCTAGCAACTCTTATTCTTTGGCATTTTGGCCTATACTATCACTCTTGGTTGGAATTTTTCTAATTTCTTCTATCTTTTCTACCTCCTTAGTTGCAGAGCAAAATTAAGAATGGGTAAAGAATGCATTAGTTACAAAAAAAAATCCAGTATGCTCAGCACCACCATTCCAACCACTCCCCAGAAATTTTAAGAAAGCTGAAGAAACAGAGGTTCAGATCAACTTACACAGATTCTGCTTTCTCTATATATTTATATCTAGCTAACTAGCTAGCTAACTACTTTCCATCATCTATCTAGCCTGAAGATATAAATAGAAGTATCAAGGCCACTTTGTGTCATCCTTTTAAAGCCTATGAAATAAGTTAGTTCTGGGATTTTAAAAGGAAAGCATCAGTTCACATATCATCATCCAAAAAGGTGACTGATTAGGTTATTCATTGCTTCCCCTACAGCTCGCCTGTCAAGAATTCAGAAGAAATGGAAATAAAAAGCATGAAGACATATAGGCTGAAGCCTCAAGTCACCAGATAATTTTTGTGTATAAAATAAATTTATTTGATACAAACTGATTCCTCACAGAACCCATCAAAGCACAATGTAAAATATACTGATATTTGATTTGGAGGGAATGCTGAAAGAATTAGGAAAACAATGACAAAAAGTATAAAACTCAATAAATAAATAATTCAACTGTCATCAAAATGGATTATGTGTTTAGGGAATATGATTTCATCCAAATAGAGTAGGGTTGGCTTGGACTCTGATTGTCTGTGTTTAGTCATTCTCCTCCGACACATAAGGATTAGTCAATCCAAATTACCAGTCCTATACAGCTCTCTCCTTGTCCCCTGCTTTTTGTTTGCCTATTCATTCCTTGTACAAAGCCCAGCCTATAGAAAGAGTGGCTTGGGGGCGGCCGGAGGCATCTTACAACAATGGTTTTGAGTCTTCCGTTTAACTCTTCAACTAATTAATATTCAGTGTAGCCAGAAGCCAGCCTGACTCAGTGCCTTGGCTTAAAGAGCAGATGGATTATGGCCACTGCTCCTCAATTGATTCATTATTTAGGCCATTAATTTTCTTCTCACCATAAACATCTGGCATCTGATGTTTGAGGATAAATTGATATTAGCTGCAAGCAAGTTTAATAACAGGTTTATTGTCTATGATTGCAGGTTAAAACCACAGACAAGAGTTCAGAAAGCATGTAAGTATTTCAGAGGAAAGGACACTGTACAAACTGCTTGATTAAGAGATAGTCTCAGAGAAAATATTCATTTTATTTGATTATTTTTCAAGAAAATTCCATTTACTTTTTGGCAATGTGACATTATCAATCATTTTAAATGAGATAATAAATTGTAAAAAACTTTGTAAACTGCAAGGGGTAATACAAATGTGAAGTGGATTTAGAATTGTTATTCCTGACAAATTATTTCTGGGACCAGGTGGTAAGGACATAGACAAATAAATAACATCATTTTAGATTACAGGATTGCAAATAATAAGTTGAAGACAGCTCATTTTTATATGTCATGATATTCTATGTTTATTGGCCAGATTCTTTTTACCATCAGATAATACTAAATCACATTTTGATCACTAGGCTGGCCCTTGTCAAATAGCTAGAGGTTGCCTACTACAACTTTTTTAGCCCCTCCTTTACTTTTTCCCTTCCTCTGAGACTAAACCCTTTCTCTTTTTAGTGTCTCGGTAGCTTTAGCCTACTAGAAAGCTATTTTGAGGAAGGAGTCTGCTATTAGACATTTACATCTTAGTATAAATGTGATTTCTTTCCTATAAGAGATTTGCAGTCAAAGGCTAATATTTCACTCTGAAGTTAAAGGGCTCTGGCAACAACAACAACAACAACAACAACAATAATTAAGGTGATATTAAAGGAATAAAATATATGCGTGTGCGTGCATATGTATGTGTATATATTTTTCTGTCATTGGTTATTTTCTGCCACCTCTGAAAACATACTTCTATAATAGGCTAGCTATTCTGCCTCTGTACCTACCTGCCCCTATTTACTGCAGGCAGGTGCTTAGCACCAATCCATAAGAAGGTAAATACACAGATAGGTTGCCAAAAACAAAGAGTTGTGTGGGTAGGCTTAGCATGAAATTCACGCAGGCATCTGGCATGAACCATCCCTGTGGGCTATAGCTTCAACATGTTTTCTCCCACTCTGTCCCATGCAGTGCCTGCTGGAAAGCTACCCAAAGGTGAATTTTCTAAGAGGGGCAAGTGAGCCTGCAGTAATCCGCCTCAGGTTTGTAAACCAGCACTCTCTCCAACTTCTAATTCAGCAGAAGCTGTGAGTCACTAACAATAGCTATTTACTAGGCTAGTAAATTTCCTATTAAAATGAGTGGTTATTTTAAGGGTCTGAATCCCAAGAACATAGAGAAGATTTTTTTCAATTTTGTCAAAGCCAAATGAACATTTTCCTCAATTATCTTTGAACAGAGATAAAGAACATCCCTGCCTCTCTCCTCTCCTCAGTTTTTTTTTCCCTACTGTCTTCCACCCTACGTTTTCACAGATTGTTTTTCTTTTATATATATATATATATATATATATATATATATATATATATATATGTATATATATATATATGTTATTATACTTCAAGTTCTAGGGTACATGTGCACAACGTGCAGGTTTGTTACATATGTATACATGTGCCATGTTGGTGTGCTGCACCCATTAAGTTGTCATTTACATTAGGTATATCTCCTAATGCTTTCCCTCCCCCCTCCCCCGACCCCACAACAAGCCCCGGTGTGTGATGTTCCCCTTCCTGTGTCCAAGTGTTCTCATTGTTCAATTCCCACCTATGAATGAAAACATGCAGTGTTTGGTTTTTTGTCCTTGTGATAGTTTGCTGAGAATGATGGTTTCCAGCTTCATCCATGCCCCTATAAAGGACATGAACTCATCCTTTTTTTTGGCTGCATAGTATTCCATGGTGTATATGTGCCACATTTTCTTAATCCAGTCTATCATTGTTGGACATTTGGGTTGGTTCCAAGTCTTTGCTATTGTGAGTAGTGCTGCAATAAACATATGTGTGCATGTGTCTTTATAGCAGCATGATTTATATTCCTTTGGGTATATACCCAGTAATGCGATGGCTGGGTCAAATGGTATTTCTAGTCCTAGATCCTTGAGGAATCGCCACACTGTCTTCCACAATGGTTGAACTAGTTTACAGTCCCACCAACAGTGTAAAAGTGTTCCTATTTCTCCACATCCTCTCCAGCACCTGTTGTTTCCTGACTTTTTAATGATCGCCATTCTAACTGGTGTGAGATGATATCTCATTGTGGTTTTGATTTGCATTTCTCTGATGGCCAGTGATGATGAGCATTTTTTCATGTGTCTGTTGGCTGCATAAATGTCTTCTTTTGAGAAGTGTCTGTTCATATCCTTCACCCACTTTTTGATGGGGTTGTTTTTTTTTTCTTGTAAATTTGTTTGAGTTCTTTGTAGATTCTGGATATTAGCCCTTTGTCAGATGAGTAGATTGCAAAAATTTTCTCCCATTTTGTAGGTTGCCTGTTCACTCTGATGGTAGTTTCTTTTGTTGTGCAGAAGCTCTTTAGTTCAACCAAAAAAAGTTCAGGACCAGAGGGATTCACAGCAGAATTCTACCAGAGGTACAAGGAGGAGCTGGTACCATTCCTTCTGAAACTATTCCAATCAATAGAAAAAGAGGGAATCCTCCCTAACTCATTTTATGAGGCCAGCATCATCCTGATACCAAAGCCTGGCAGAGACACAACAATAAAAGAGAATTTTAGACCAATATCCCTGATGAACGTCAATGCAAAAATCCTCAGTAAAATACTGGCAAACCGAATCCAGCAGCACACCAAAAAGCTTATCCACCGTGATCAAGTGGGCTTCATCCCTGCGTTGCAAGGCTGGTTCAACATACACAAATCAATAAACGTAATCCAGCATATAAACAGAACCGAAGACAAAAACCACATGATTATCTCAATAGATGCAGAAAAGGCCTTCGACAAAATTCAACAGCCCTTCATGCTAAAAACTCTCAGTAAATTAGGTATTGATGGGACATATCTAAAAATAAGAGCTATTTATGACAAACCCACAGTCAATATTTTTCTTTTCAAGGAGAAAATGTCCAAGTATGTTCAAGCCTTTAGAATGCATGGTACAAGAAAGGGATGAAAACTGCACTTGTCTTTCATGGCTAAAGTCCAAAGACAGACACTGTAGGGCCTTTTTAGTGGCTGGGAAGCCAACGTCATTTCTGAGGTAAAAGTTCAGCCAGCTGGCTGTTTTGGAAGTTTGACTAATCTCTCTTTCTCCAGTTCTTCAGCCCACTCTCTACCACTCAGCATCTCATCCCCACCCACTACCACCACTTGTGGAATTCCAAAAGTTGACAAATTGCTTTAGAGTTGTGAAGAAAAGCAATTCCCAGATGTAGAAATTTCACAAATGAGTCCAACTTCAAGACAATATTATTAGACCAACACAAAGCTGCTACTTTTTCATTCTATCAAATAATTACATTTTTAATGCTACCTGCTGATACTGTGACATGATACAACAAAGGTTATTTAACACCAAAAAAATGCAATATAGACATAATCTCAATGGCAACATTTATTTACTGTTATACTGTTACTCACTTCATTGTTCACATTTTTCTCATTTTTCTGTGACATAGGTCTTTTGGCACTTAGATGAGAATTGACACTTGGGAATGATTGGTATAGACATTATCTGGATTTACAGTGGACAGATAAACAAGGGTCATGGAATTTATGCCCATGGTATTTATTTCCACTGTTTGCTTAAAAGTACTGTATTGGCCACTGGATTCAAAAGGTCTTATACATGCAATGACGATTCATAAGAATGGCCTTGCTCATGAATGAAGTATACCACAAAACAATCTGATCCCTAAATATAGTGTGTCATTATTTAATTTTTTCCCATTAAGGACTCACTTCTTGGTGCTAAAATCAAATATACTCTAAAAATTCAAATACCTCCAGAAAGTCCATGCTACATAATAAGGTGTTATTAATTGTTTGTTCTTTTATGTCAAATTCTTTCCTTCTAAAAATTAGCTCTGACAAAGACATTAAAAAAATAAAAGTTTTAAAGAACTGAGTACAAAGTTGAAGGACTGAAGGGAAACTCTGGAAGATGGAAGAGACAAGCAGAGCATCAACCTGGATGTCTTTAAAATGTGAGTGTCCTAGGCACCTAGAAAGCAAAATACAGAAAGTACTGGAAGTGAGCAAACTCTCATAAAAATTGTAGTTTTGCCTAGGTTGTTAAGACCGTAGACCAACTCTTGAACTCCTCAGTTTTGAAAGTACTCTACTCCTTTTATTCACTCTATCCCCCATGACTGGTACTCCAAATGTTTACCGAATATGTGATGTTAATAAGTAGTACTCTTTATGATAAAATAATGGTTCTCCACCTAGGATATAAGATGATATGAACAGCTAATTGCTGGCTTTTTAAATACACCTAGCTGCGTGCCATTAGGTATGACAACTCTCTAATGTTCCTAAGTTATTCTGTGTCTCATGTTAGTTTCCTTTTTTATTATTTATTTACTTATTTATTTATTTAAGACAGAGTCTCACTCTGTCACCCAGGCTGTAGTGCAATGGAGTGGTCTAGGCTCACTTCAACCTCCACCTCCCGGGTTCAAGCAATTCTCCCACTTCAGCCTCTCGAGTAGCTGGGACGGCAGGCGCATGCCACCACACCGGGCTAATTTTTGTATTTTTAGTAGAGACTGGGTTTCACTATGTTGGTCAGGCTGGTCTCGAACTCCTGGCCTCCTGATCCTCCCGCCTTGGCCTCCCAAAGTACTGGGATTACAAGCGTCAGCCACCGTGCCCAGCCTAGTTCCCATTTTTATAGAGACACACATCAAGCACTTTATAACCCTGGAAGGAAGGGATCATTATTCTTGTTTGATATAGTCTCCTTTATCTGCTAGTCCCAAAGTAGGAGCACATGAAACTCTAGCCAAGTTCAGTGAAAGCAATCTTCCTGTTCCCTGTTGTAGTTTCTTGACATTTGGCCCCATATACTACTCAGAAAACTGACTGTTCACTGAGATGATAAATTCATCTTTAAGTCTCCCAAATCTCCTTTTTATTCTCCCCAGAAGTTTATGGACCTTTAATGTCCCATGATGTCTTGGTTCTACTGAGATGAGTAAATACATTGTTACACTATGATCCTTGGCTATATTCCTTAAGCCTGGCAGGGCCTTGGGGTTTTCTTAATACCTTATTGAGTCTAATTTTACCTAGGATATTGTTGATGTCCCCTATATGTCTTTTGCATATGATGAAAATGAAGAGTACACCTATAATAATCTGATATAATTCCCTACACAGTTGAGAGGAGAAACAGTAACCTAGCTACTATGTGGTACAGTAGTCACATTCACTTAGTACAAAAAGAGAAATTGTTTATTATGTAATTCTCTCATACTCTCCATATTTTACTTTTCAATCCGTGAAAAAAGAAAGAGAAGTGCCACTTCTGGATGAAGATAACCTTGACTCTCTTGGGAATGTGGAAAAGAGCATGATGGAACAAAACCTTCAAGCATTGTCTATTTTTCAACTACCTCCCATGAGCTTAATCAGTCCTTCTCTGTACTCCAAGGATAATGGATGTTCTGTTAATTCCCAATTCCAAAACTCAAATGCAACTTGATTTTTAAGTCCCTTTTTGATTCAAACTAAACATATTATAACATTAAACTTATTAGTCAAAGGTAAGGTTGTCAGGTAAAATACAAGACATTCTGTATTTTTATTTGCCAAACCTGGCAACCATAGAAAGAGAAAATGTGTGGCACTGTGGCATAATGTTTAAGAACACAGGCTTCAGTGTCTGACAGACTTTGTTTCAAACCCTGATTGTGACACATAATAGTTACATAACCTTAGTAAAATCACTTAGCCTCTCTAAGCCTCAGTGTTTCCAATTGCAAGTAGAGAAGATGATAATATTGAGTTCATTGTGTTTTCTGAGAATATATTAAGTCATCTATATAAATTGGTGAGTCCAATGCTCAATAACTTATTGTTATTTTATTTTCATGGAGTGTACCTGCCTTATAACAACTCATTTAAAAGATCTTTCCAAAGAATCTAAGAATTATATAACATTAAAGTCAATAAGGGACAAAAAATATGAAACTTAAAAAAAAAAAACTGTTACTGCTCTCAGGAAAGCTCTGCTAACGGCCTGAGTTTCTGAGAACTAAGTCATATAGTGTTCCTTCAGTGTTGATTGGGGCTTTCTTCAAACATTGAAGGTAGCCAAGTAAACACCACTTGGAATTATACTCTGGTAGCAATGGTGCCATGTTTGTGTAAGCTTTTCTTTTTCTAAACTGCAGTGAAACCCTCCAGAACTCAGAACTGTCTCTTTTCTGGATAATTAGATAATGCACTCTTCTTCATGCACCCATATGTATCTTATGCCTCTTACACCACTGTATTAGCTTACTAGGACCCCCATGACATAATATCACAGACAGGGTGGCTTACACAGCAGGAATTTATTTTCCCACAGTTCTGAAGCCTAGATTTCCAAGATCAAGGTGTTCCCAAGATTTGTTTCTCCTGAGGCCTTTCTCTTTGGCTTGCAGATGAACACCTTTTTATTGTGTTTTTACATGGTGTTTATGTAAGTGCATGCCCCTGGTGTCTCCATTTGTTTTCAGATTTCCTCTTCTTACAAGGACACCAGTCATACTAGATTAGGGGTCACCTTAAGAGCCTCCGTTTAACTTAGTCACCTATTTAAAGGTCTTATCTCCAAATTCAGTCACAATCTGAAGTACTGGGAGTTATGGCTTCAAAATATAAATTTGGCAGGGGTAATGATCCAACCCATAACAACCACCAAAAGTACAATTAACTGGCATATCCTCCCCATTGCTTTACATTGCTTAGAAAAGAGAGATGCATTTTAGATGTAAGAGGCCTTTTAGCTTCTTGGCAAAAACATGTGCTATCCTCTCCAAACAATGCTGCTTACTACTGCATGGAAGTAACTGATGGACTGAAAAAATAATGCCAGAATAAAAAGCCCATGTTTGATTTGTTCTAAGATGCTGCTGACAGAGCCATATTTTTTTTTCAATCTATTTTGTTTTGTTTTGCTTTAAATAGACTTTATTTTAGGGGAGTTTTATGTTAACAGCAAAACTGAACAGAAAGCACAGGAAGTTCCCACACATTTTCTATACCCACACATGCCCAATAGCACCCAGTGGCAACATCCCAAGCCAGAGTGATACATTTGTTAGAACTGGTAAACCTATTTTGACACATTATTATCACCCTAAGTCCATAGTTTACCTTAGGATTCACTCTCGCTATTGTACATTCTATGAATTTAGACAAATGTATCCACTATTATAGTGTCATACAGAGTTGTTTCACTGCTCTAAAAGTCCACTGTGCTGCTCTTATCCATCACTCCTTCCTGCCAACCCCTGGCAACCACTGATCTTTTCACTGTCTTTTTGTCTTTTCCAGAATGCCTTATAATTGGAATAGTATAGTAATTAAAACGTCTTATAATTATATAATTATAATGTCTTATCATTGGTATAGTATAGTATATAGGCTGTTCAGGTTGGCTTCTTTCACTTATTAATATACATTTCCGTTTCCCCCATGTCTTTTCATGGCTTGACAAGTTCTCTTTAGTGCTGAATAACATTCCATTGTCTGGATGTACCACGGTTTCTTTATCCATTCACCTACTGAAGACATCCTGGTTGTGTCTAAGTTTTGACAGACAATTATAAATATAGTATCTATAAACTTCCACGTGCAGATAAAATTTCTACAAACATCCATGTGCAGGTTTTTGTGTGGGTGTAAGTTTTCAACTCATTTGGGTAAATATTAAGGAGCGTGATTGCTGGATCATGTGGTAATTGTACCTTTAGTTGTGTAAGAAATTGCCGATCTGTCATATTATTTATAGTTTATCATTTTTTTCTAGAAAATATTGGAATAAAAAGACTACCTATGCAGTTACAAACAGCGTCGTCAGAATGTATGCATAATGTTTATGAGTCTAGAGCCTAAAATCATTGGCTCAAATTATGAAAGAATATTTTATATCTATGTATTTTGTGCATAAATAACCAAATATAAGCTTGTTTATAAACAGACACTATAATAATTTTTGATATGGTAAGGCAATACAATTATATGCATTAAAATAATTTTAAAGTTAAAATTGCATTTAAGTAACTTAGATAATTTTAATTACTCATATAAATACCTTTTATTCATATAAGTTTTAAGATTTTCAAATCATTTCCTTTTGATCCTCACATTTTTTAGTAGCTAAAGAAACTGACAGACAAGTTAAACCATGTTTTCTAAAGTAACATTCTTGTTTTGAGGCCAAACTGGGGCTAGAACCTGGGTCCCTATATATTCAGCCCTATTGTCTTTCAATGCTCACTGATGATTTCACTATTATGATAAAACTTGATTCTCCAGAACTAAAAGTCTTATCAGACATTCTCATTCTAAATTCATGTAACACAAAGACAGGAGAGGTATATAATTTTCCCACAGACACACAGCACCTAAAGGAACTCATGTATTTTTGGAGCTTGCCTTCCATTTGGAAGAAGAAAGAATTATTTTACTTAAAATATAAAGAAGCAGTTATGCCTTACTTTGATTTAAAGTGAAATCTTAATTCATTACTTTGCTTGGTTTCCCTGTCAGAGACATAGAAGTTTTTGGCATATAATTGAAGCTTCATTAAAAGTATTAGCTTTTAAACTCAGTGAATGAAAGATTTGCAGTACCAATATTATGTGGGCTGATCTATTTCTTTAAAACTTCAAGCTCTTCATTAAAATATCCCTATTAGACTCACTAATTGGCAGATTGATTTTCCCAAAAGAAAATATCTAAAACAAATTGGAATTAGACCACAATGGGGAAAATGATGATGCTCTTACCATTTTCACTATAGCTGTAAAATTGTCCGCAGTGCTGGCCTCATCAGATTATAAAGCAATTATCATTAGTCGACTATTGCCTGTGAGAAGAATGTGCTAATAAATGTTTAAAATTAATTAAAAATGAAAAAGATAAATGCATCCTTTTGTGAATGTAGGTAAAGGGAATACATATTGTTATTAACCTCAGTGTGCTATTCTTTATTTCTTGATTTTGAACATGCACACCTGTGCACATGATGCATGCAGAAACACATGCACATATACACAGGTTTATACTGTCTGTCACTAAGACACAGTTATTAAAGAACCAGTATATTCATATCTAGAATGCAGGAGACAGAGTGACAATACCCAGGACTCAGTAGTTTATGCCTTTTTAAAACTTGAATCTGAAAACATGTAGATAAGTAAATTTTTCTGTTAGAAATTAAAAACAGGGGGATATTTTCCTTTGAGTAGAATGTTTCTCCCAATTTCTTAGTGTCAGGAGTAGGTTCACTAGAGTAATAAAAGATACTATCAGGGTTGGGTGCGGTGGCTCATGCCTTTAATCCCAGCACTTTGGGAGGCCGAGGAGGGAGGATCATGAGGTCAAGAGATCGAGACCATCCTGGCCAAATTGGTGAAACCCCATCTCTACTAAAAATACAAAAATTAGCTGGGCTTGGTGGTGGGCGCCTGTAATCCCAGCTACTCAAGAGGCTGAAGCAGGAGAATCGCTGGAACCTGGGAGGCGGAGGTTGCAGTGAGCCGAGATCACGCCACTGCACTCCAGCCTGGTGAAAGAGCAAGACTCCCTCAAAAAAAAAAAAAAGGAACGAAAGAAAGAAAGAAAGAGAGAGAGAAAGAAAGAAAGAAAGAAAAAGAAAGAAAAAGAAAGAAAGAAAGGAAGGAAGGAAGAAAGAAAGAAACTATCATAGGTTTGATATAAATTTCTACTTCTTGGCTAAAACCTAGTCAGATGTTTCAACTTGTTCTTAGAGACAGCTTTAGAATTATAACTGATTATTTTATTTTTCTCAGAGCAACCAATCAAGTAAGTTTTAGAAGATGTAGAGCTCTGTGTGTATGCCTTTTTATTAAGTAATGAAATTAGAGGTCTTTTATAGAGGTAGTAATTTTTTACTTTTAAAAAAATCTTTAACCAGATCTTCAATCTAGGTAATATTTTTCTATGGTGCCAGTCTCAGGCAGCAGTAATAGAGAGGAAAAAAATGGGATTAAAAGACAGTGGTGAGTTTTTACCCCAGCTCTAAGATTTACATGATAAGTGATCTTTGGCAAGTCACTTTGAGTCTCTTTTCTCTCATCTATACACTGGTGGTGATAATAATATCTACCCTGCAGGGCTATTGTGAATATGTAAAGCAAGATGTAAAGACTTAAGTGTACACACATGAAAGGTCTCAATTTTTATAATAATCGGTCCAGTTTTTAAAAAAGCAAGTATAAATTATGTAAAACAATCATTCAGATTATTCTGGCTAGATGATAAAGTTAGTACCTTATGACAGAGTTTCTGAGTCTCCTCAGAACTAACTTCTCACTTAGGTAAGAATTTCACTAGAACAATTTAATTCAGACTTAACGTGGTCTTGCATTGTTTTGCATGTCTACAGAAAGTCTCTCACTATTGACTCATGTGCCCCAGTATAACGGCTTCTCCTCTTAGCCATGCTGCCTTTTTCCTCTTTCACTAAGTTTTGAGAATATAGATCTTTCTCAGCAGCACACAGATACTTGCAAGTTTCTAGAGAAAAACACACACCAATGGAAAACAGATTAGAAAATCGAAGGCAAAATGTATAAATTTCTCTTTTCTGCCATTTTGCTTAATTTATATTGGCTTCAATATTGAATAAGTAGGGACTGGATGTGAAGTTCAGATATCATTAATCCTGCTACCTGACATGCTGGCCAATCAAGAGCAGAAATACTTCTCTTCTTCCAACAAATAGGTAATTCTGCCAGTTATTTTAATGCTACATGTGTGCATACATGTGAGCACATATATTTCCTCATTTTTTGTAATTTCAAGTTTTAAAAGCAGCCTGAAAGATTTAGATTAAGTTCAGAAACCATAAGAAGCCTTCAAGTAAGTAGAAAGGAAAAGTTGCCTTTGGTTATCACTCATCATCTATAAAATGAACACATGCCTCAGTTTTCCAGCTGTGGGCAAGCTTACATGAGATGAGGAGAAAGAAGTTAAACTTTACAACTAGTAATCAGCGGTCTCTTCTTTTAGTAGGCTATTGCAAACCCTCTTAAAGACCAAAGATCAAATCTTCAGTTGTTTCATTAGGCACAATATGCACTGTTTGACTTTTTGTTTTAATAATAACTAGCCTCATTTCCCCCAGACATCATTACTGTGAATGATTCTGTAGAAAATATAAAGCTTTAATGAAGTTTCCATTAAATTAAAGAGCAATAAACAAACAGAAACAATTGACAAGTCAGATCCATGAAATGTGTCTTATCTCATACATTTCTCTTGCACTCTTGCTTCACTAGTGCAGTACTTGGGAATAAACCAATTGATCAACAGGGAGTTGTTACCTTAATTATAAAATGAAACAACCTTGCTAATGTAGTCTGAAAGCCTTGTTCATTCTCCAGATCTGTAGTTCGAAATGGGCTTCAAATACAAATGCTTAGACAAGTAGTTGCTGCCTGATTTTGATGTGAAGGCTTGAAAGAGCCCCTGACCAGACTACAGCCTACTGATTCAAGCACCCTGGTTTTATTCCTGAATTTTATTTTTTTGGAATCTCTGCCTTTGCCCTTGGGGTGGAGATAAAATGCTAACAATTACTGGGTCCCAAGCAGCCTGCATTTTTGAATAGTTCATTCATGGGGAACCATTTGTTTGAGGAGGCTTTTTGTCTGATTATTGGCCTTTGCTGTTAGGGCTCAGGCAGAGATGTGATGACCCTTGCAGGAAAAATTAAAGAAGATGTAAACAGTAAATGCAGACATTTTGCAACATAGCTAAAAATAAATTGCACTACAGGCAATTATGCAAGTTTTACTGGATACATTAAAAAGACATTAAATTCACAGCTGTTTTAAGTGTCTTTTAAGTTGATAAATTAACTGTCTAATAAATTGTAAGATTTGTCAGCTAATAATGCTATTTTATCTGGTTTAACATATGCCTTCCTAGTTCATGAAGCATTATTGTAAGTGCCAAAAGGAGATAATGTGCATTTTACAGTGTTATGTCTTAAGTGGAATGGATCATTGGCCATGAAGAAGTGTGTTAATAAATCTCCTAGGCTTTGTTAATTGCACTCAATGAAGTGTCACTGTTAAAACACAAAAGATGTGATAGAGAAATCTGAACATAATGTCTTTCAGTTTTACAATTAACAGTTCACTAGGCAAATCGACCAAAAAGACCATAATTTGTTGAAGCCTTATTAACTTACATTTTCCTAGTCAAGGTCATAATTGTGGATGGCTTAAAGCTATCTTTTAATGCTCATTGCAAACAGTAACCTTGCTGGGGAGAAGGAACATTTTTCCTCCGAGTGGCACAAGATGCCTACCAGGTTCAAGAAAAATAAAGCCGTACTCTATCAAACAACAGATTTTTCAGAATCATTCCCCATAAAGCACCTGTGTTTGTCCTTGACTTGAGAAAAATACCATTTTGAATTGCTTGTGGAGGAGGGTAGTTCACATACTATGAAATTAAAACGCATGACTTCAGAGGCCATTAAGTGTAAGCCCTTGGCCACTAAAAAAAGTAATAATAATAAAATAAAGAAGTTTAATTTCTGTAGAATTGGTGTATTTTTTTTTTCATTTAAACTATGACAATAGATACCAGCATACTCAACATGAGAACTCAACATTAAACTGTCTTTCCCAAAAGTTTTGGAAAACTTACAATGGGAGTCTTTCTTTGTTTACGTGTTAGAACAAGAAGTGTTTTCTTTTTCTTCTACTGTTGAGAATGTGCCCTTGATCCAGTGCCTGTCAGTTTGCAATTCAGCTTTTGTAAAAGCATGAGTTGCATCTTTAGTAATGCTGCAGCTTTAACAATGACTTTTACAAATCAAGTGTGAAAGCAGAGAGGAAAAAGAAACCACATACTACCTTTAAAAGTAAATGGCACTTCATCTTGTAGGCCAAGTATTACATATTTCATGTGTTTGGTTTAGTATAAGATTGACCAAATTAGAATAGAAAAGCAAATTCAGAGCCATTCCAAAAATCTACAGCAGTATTTCTCTTTTATTCCTGACTAGTTGAGTAATTTCCTATGACACAATTTATTCATCTATAAACTGAAACAATAAAATCATCCACTTCATGGAATGAAGAGAAAAAAATGTATGTAAAAGTGCTTTAAAAAGCCAAAGTAATATTAGTTACTCTTAATTATAGGTCAAAATATCAATTATGTAATTCTTCATCTTCAAATAACTTTCACATTTAGTATCTCAATTATTCCTCACAACAATTTTTTGAGGAAAACAGGACAAGTATTTCCAAATACAAAATATTTTCTGATGGCCTGCTGAGTATAAGGTACTATGCTAGATGTTACAATGTTATAACCAAGTATGATATAGAGTTAGTTCTTCTTTCCTAGAGGTTATCATCTGGTTGTGTAATCACGTTGGTATTACAGTAAAGGAAACAGAAGCTCAGGAAAGTGAGATTACCTGCCCAAAGCTACAAAGCAAATCCAAGAGAAAAAAAAGTAAGCCTTCAGAAATATTTTATCACTGAAAAATCCTTCAAGCTATGAAACAAAGTCTCCTGTCAGTCCAATGCTTTTTCACATGTTCATACTGCTTCAGTTAGACCACACAGAAAATCAAAATGAAATAGGTCAAATGTTAGAAACCATTGTGGGAATTCTAAATACCATGTTGATATTTGGGCTAGGTGGAATGGAAGTGAAAGTACTTCAAGTCTTTTGTGCTATATTCAGTAAACTGTTTCAGTAGGACTGCCTCAGATAGCGTCATTTCTGGCTAGACCACCCCAAGGGAATGAGAAGTCCTAATTATCTTTACCACCAATCCTTTCTTTGATTGAACATGAATGAGATGATTTGATCTTAAGTGGAGATTATACACTGGGCAATGCCGGGTAGTCTTCAAATGAGCTTAAAAGAAGCTTTTAAAGAGTATACATCATCACTGGGAGAAACAGAATTGTTTGGGATTTTTTTTTTCTTAAACTCAAAACCATTTAGATCATTATTCCCTTTGAACTGCAGTTTCTACTTGAGATTGGAAACTGCAAGGGAAGAAATACCATCGGCTGCTTCATTGATGTCTTGACAGGCATATGTAGCAAAGAAAAAAATATAACAAAAGATATCCAATTTGCATGAATTTCTAGGTTCATGACTGGTGTATATACAGTTGGAAAAGTTAGTAGTACTTAAATTTCTAGATACAGTCAAGTCAATAAATTATGTACCATAGTGATCTCAAAATAAGTGCTTTTTTATACAATGAATTAAAAAAACATAAATTAAGAAAGAAAGAGAGAAAACTAAAAAAAAAAGGAAGGAAGAATGAACAAAGGAAAGAAAAAGGAGGAAAATATAGCATCCTATTTTCAGAAATGAGAAATGCAAGTATGTGTAGTTCTTCTATGTGACCAAGGTCCACATTCTTATAAAACATGTAAATTATGGCAGATCCTAACAAATTCACATATTGGATCCTACACTATATACTGGCTTAAGTCTTTGTGGTTTATTATTATTATTAATAAAAATAATAGCAATAATTTATTGAGCAATTGCTATGTACTGGACTCTACTATAAGCACTTTGCTTGTCTTAGCTCATTTAATCATAGAAATAACCTTAGGAGGCATGTTACATAAATATTCCCATTTAACAAATGAAAAATGAGAACACACTGAGAAGTTAAATAACTTGCCCTGAGTCACTTACAGAGACAGCCAGTTTGGTTCTAGAGCCCACTGTCAGGCCTCTGAGCCCAAGCTAAGCCATCATATCCCCTGTGACCTGCATGTATACATCCAGATGGCCTGAAACAACTGAAGATCCACAAAAGAAGTGAAAATAGCCTTAACTGATGACATTCCACCATTGTGATTTGTTTCTGCCCTACCCTAACTGATCAATGTACTTTGTAATCTCCCCCACCCTTAAGAAGGTTCTTTGTAATTCTCCCCACTCTTGAGAATGTACTTTGTGAGATCCACCCCCTGCCTGCAAAACATTGTTCCTAACTCCACCACCTATCCCAAAACCTATAAGAACTAATGATAATCCACCACCCTTTGCTGACTCCTTTTTCAGACTCAGCCCACCTGCACCCAGGTGAAATAAACAGCCTTATTGCTCACACAAAACCTGTTTGGTGGTCTCTTCACACAGACGCGTGAGACATTTGGTGCTGAAGACTGGGGTCAGCGAGACTCCTTCGGGAGACCAGTCCCCTGTCCTCACCCTCACTCCGTGAAGAGATCCACCTATGACCTCAGGTCCTCAGACCAACCAGCCCAAGGAACATTGCATCGATTTTAAATTGGGTAAGCGGCCTCTTTTTACTCTCTTCTCCAACCTCTCTCACTATCCCTCAACTTCTTTCTCCTTTCAATCTTGGTGCCACCCTTCAATCTCTCCCTTCTCTGAATTTCAATTCCTTTCATTTTCTGGTAGAGACAAAGGAGCCACATTTTATCCATGGACCCAAAACTCCAGCGCTGGTCACGGACTCGAGAAGGCAGCCTTCCCTTGGTGTTTAATCATTGTGGGGATGCCTGCCTGATTATTCACCCACATTCCATTGGTGTTTGATCTCTGCGGGGACACCTGCCTTGGTCATTCACCCACATTCCTTTGGTGGCATGTCAATTGCAGAGACGCCTACTTTGGCTGCTCACCCACATTGCAGCCCAGGGCTGCTCCCCACCCCCTTCTCGGTGTCTCTACCCTTCTCTTTAAACTTGCCTCCTTCACTATGGGCAAACTTCCACCCTCCATTCCTCCTTCTTCTCCCTTAGCCTGTGCTCTCAAGAACTTAAAACCTCTTCAACTCTTGCCTGACCTAAAATCTAAACATCTTATTTTCTTCTGCAACTCCGCTTGGCCCCAATACAAAGTCGATAATGGTTATAAATGGCCAGAAAACAGCACTTTTGATTTTTCCATCCTACGAGACCTAGATAATTTTTGTCAAAAAATGGGCAAATGGTCTGAGGTGCCTGATGTCCAGGCATTCTTTTACACATTGGTCCCTCCCTAGTCTCTGCTCCCAATGTGACTCGTCCCAAATCTTTCTTCTTTTTCTCCTGTCTGTTCCTTCAGTCTCCACCCCAAGCTCTGAGTCCTTTGAATCCTTTTTTTCTACGGACTCATCTGACCTCTCCCCTTCTCCCCAGGCTGCTCCTCACCAGGCAGGAGCCAGGTCCTAATTCTTCTTCAGCTTCTGCTCCCCCACCCTATAAGTCTTCTATCACCTCCCCTCCCCACATCTGGTCTGGCTTACAGTTTTGTTCTGCGACTAGTTCTCCCCAACCTGCCCAACAATTTCCTCTTAGAGAGGTGGCTGGAGCTGAAGGCATAGTCAGTGTACATGTGCCTTTTTCTCTATCAGACCTTTCCCACATCAGCCAGCGTTTAGGCTCTTTCTCATCAGACCCCACTGAATATATACAGGAATTCCGATATCTAACTCTGTCCTACAATTTAACCTGGAGTGACTTAAATGTCATCCTAACTTCTACCCTCTCCCCAGATGAATGGGAAATAGTTTTTTCTCTAGCCCAATCTCATGCTGATAACCACTGGCTTCATGGGCCAGACCTCCAGGAAGACATTAGACCAAGAAGATCCCCAATGGAACTATCAGGCAGATTCCCCAGGTATAGCTAGGTGAGATTACATGGTTTCCTGCCCAGTTGAAGGGTTTAAAAAGGCAGCTCACAAAGCTGTTAATTATGACAAACTTAAAGAAACTACCCAAGGTGAAGATGAAAACCCAGCCCAGTTCATGGCCTGTTTGGCAGCAACACTTAGATGCTTTATCACCCTAGACCCAGAGGGGCCAGAAGGCCGCCTTATTCTTAATATGCATTTTATCACCCAGTCAGCTCCTGACATTAGAAAAAAGCTCCAAAAATTAAATTCCAGCCCTCAAACCCCAAAACAGCACTTAATTAACCTCACCTTCAAGGTGTACGATAATAGAGAAGAGTTGCAATTACTTGCCTCTGCTGTGAGAGAAACCCCAGCCATATATCCAGCAGACAAAAACTTCAAAACTCCTAAGCCACAGCGGTCAGGCATTCCTTCAGGACTTCCTGCCCCAGGATTTTGCTTCAAGTGCTGGAAATCTGGCCACTGGGCCAAGGAATGCCCACAGCCCAGGATTCCTCCTAAGCCATGTCCCTTCTGTGTGGGACTCCACTGGAAATTGGACTGTCCAACTGGCCCAAGTCTCTGACTCCTTCCCAGCAGATCTTCTCAGCTTAGCGGCTGAAGACTGACACTGCCGGATCACCTCAGAAGCCTCCTGGACCATCACAGATGCTTTGGGTAACTCTTACAGTGGAGGGTAAGTCCATCCCCTTCTCAATTAATACAGAGGCTACCCACTCCACATTACCTTCTTTTCAAAGGCCTTTTTCCTTTGCCTCCATAAATGTTATGGGTATTGACAGCCAGGCTTCTAAATCTCTTAAAACTCCCCAACTCTAGTGCCAACTTGGACAACATTCTTTTATGCACTCCTTTTTAATTATCCCCACCTGCCCAGCTCCTTTATTAGGTTGAGACATTTTAACTAAATTATCTGCTTCCCTGACTATTCCTGGGCTACAGTCACACCTCACACCTCATTGCCACCTTTTCCTCAGTTCAAAGCCTCCTTCGCATCCTCCTCTTGTATCCCCACACTTTAACCCACAAGCATGGGACACCTCTACTCTCTCCCTGGCAACTGATCACATGCTCATTACTATCCTGTTAAAACCTAATCACCCTTACCCACTCAATGCCAATATCCCATCCCAAAGCACTCTTTAAAAGGATTAAAGCCTGTTATCACTCACTTGTTACAGCATGGCCTTTTAAAGCCTATAAACTCTCCTTACAATTCCCCCATTTTACCTGTCCAAAAGCCGGACAAGCCTTACAGTTTAGTTCAGGATCTGAGCCTTATCAAACAAATTGTCTTGCCTATCCACTCTGTGGTGCCAAACCCATATACTTTCCTATCCTCAATACCTCCCTCCACAACCTCTCCATAACCCATTATTCTGTTCTGGATCTCAAACATGCTTTCTTTACTATTCCTTTGCACTCTTCATCCCAGCCTCTCTTTACTTTCACTTGGACTGACCCTGACACCCATCAGGCCCAGCAAATTACCTGGGCAGTACCGCCATAAGGCTTCACGGACAGCCCCCATTACCTCAGTCAAGCCCAAATTTCTTCCTCATCTGTTACCTATCTCGGCATAATTCTTCATGAAAACACACGTGCTCTCCCTGCTGATTGTGTCCAGTTAATCTCCCAAACCCAAACCCCTTCTACAAAATGATAACTCCTTTCCTTCCTAGGCATGGTTAGGTACTTCTGCCTTTGGATACCTAGTTTTACCATCCTGATTAAACCATTATGTAAACTCACAAAAGCAAACCTAGCTGACCCCATAGATCCTAAATCCTTTTGCCACTCCTCTTTCCATTCCTTAAAAACAGCCCTAGAAGCTGCCCCCATGCTGGCTCTCCCTAACTCTTCCCAACCCTTTTCATTACACACAGCCAAAGAACAGGGCTGTGCAGTCAGAATTCTTACCCAAGAGCCGGGACCACGCCTGTAGCCTTTCTGTCCAAACAACTTGACCTTACTGTTTTAGCCTAGCCCTCATGTCTGTATGTGGCAGCTGTCACTGCTTTAATACTTTTAGAGGCCCTCAACATCACAAGCTATGCTCCACTTACTCTCTACAGTTCCCATAACTTTCAAAATCTATTTTCTTCCTCACACCTGACGCATATACTTTCTGCCCTCTGGCTCCTTCAGCTATACTCACTCTTTGTTGAGTCTCCCACAATTACCATTGTTCCTGGCCCAGACTTCAATCTGGCCTCCCACATTATTCCTGATACCACACCTGACCCCCATGAGTGTATCTCTCTGATCCCCTGACATTCACTCTATTCCCCATATTTCCTTCTTTCCTGTTCCTCACCCTGATCACACTTGGTTTATTGATGGCACTTCCACCAGGCCTAATCACCACTTGCCAGCAAAGGCAGGCTATGCTATAGTATCTTCTACATCTATCATTGAGGCCACTGCTCTGCCTCCCTCCACTACCTCTCAGCAAGCTGAACTCATTGCCTTAACTCGAGCCCTGACTCTTGCAAAAGGACTATGTGTCAATATTTATACTGACTCTAAATATGCCTTCCATATGCTGCACCACCATGCTGTTATATGGGCAATAAGAGGTTTCCTCACTATGCAAGGGTCCTCCATCATTAATGCCTCTTTAATAAAAACTCTTCTCAAGGCCACTTTACTTCCAAAGGAAGCTGGAGTCATACGCTGCAAGGGCCATCAGAAGGCATCAGATCCCATCGCTCAGGGCAATGCTTATGCTGATAAGGTAGCTTAAAAATCAGCTAGCGTTCCAACTTCTATCCCTCACGGCATTTTTTCTTCTTCTCATCTGGTCACTCCCACCTACTCCCCCACTGAAACTTCCACCTATCAATCTCTTCACTCAAAAGGCAAATGATTCTTGGACCAAGGAAAATATCTCCTTCCAGCCTCACAGGCCCATTCTATTCTATTGTCATTTCATAACCTCTTCCATGTAGGTTACAAGCCGCTAGCCCGCCTCTTAGAACCTCTCATTTCCTTTCCATCATGGAAATCTATCCTTAAGGAAATCACTTCTCAGTATTCCATCTGCTATTCTACTACTCCTCAGAAATTTCTCAGGCCCCCTCCCTTCCCTACACATCAAGCTTGGGGATTTGCGCCTGCCCAGGACTGGCAAATTGGCTTTACTCACATGCCCCGAGTCAGGACACTAAAATACCTCATGGTCTGGGTAGACACTTTCACTGGATAGGTAGAGGCCTTTCCCACAGGGTCTGAGAAGGCCACTGAGGTCATTTCTTCCCTTCTGTCAGACCTAATTCCTCTGTTTGGCCTCCCCACCTCTATACAGTCCAATGACGGACGAGCCTTTATTAGTCAAATCACCCAAGCAGTTTCTCAGGCTCTTGGTATTCAGTGGCTCCAACATAAAAAAACTCAAGGATAGAGCCCAAAAACTCACCAACCAAGCAAATAATTACACTGAACCCCCTTGAACACTCTGTAGTTTGATGTCCTGGGTACTCCCAATTCTTAGTCCTTTAATAGCTGTTTTTCTCCTTCTCTTATTTGGACTTTGTGTCTTTCATTTAGTTTCTCAATTCATACAAAACTGCATCCAGGCCATAATCAATAATTCTATACAACAAATGCTCCTTCTAACAACCCCACAATATCACCACTTACCCCAAAATATTCCTTCAGCTTAATCTCTCCCACTCTAGGTTCCCCCGCCGCCCCTAATCCCACTCGAAGCAGCCCTGAGAAACATCGCCCATTATCTCTCCATACCACCCCCAAAAATTTTCACTGCCCCAACACTTTACCACTAGTTCGTTTTATTTTTCTTATTAATACATGAAGACAGGAATGTCAGGCCTCTGAGCCCAAGCTAAGCCATCATATCCCCTGTGACCTGCATGTATACATCCAGATAGTCTGAAACAACTAAAGATCCACAAAAGAAGTGAAAATAGCCTTAACTGATGACATTCCACCATTGTGATTTGTTTCTGCCCCACCCTAACTGATCAATGTACTTTGTAATCTCCCCCACCCTTAAGAAGGTTCTTTGCAATTCTCCCCACCCTTGGAAATGTACTTTGTGAGATCCACCCCCTGCCCAAAAAACATTGCTCCTAACTCCACCACCTATCCCAAAACCTATAAGAACTAATGATAATCCACCACCCTTTGCTGACTCCTTTTTCAGACTCAGCCCACCTGCACCCAGGTGAAATAAACAGACTTATTGCTCACACAAAGCCTGTTTGGTAGTCTCTTCACACAGACGTGTGAGACACCCACAATCTTAAGCACAATTCTATACTCACTAGATAGTATCCTTTCTGTCATCTTCCAAGCAGAGATCAATATTCTGCCCTCTGCTGAGGTGTTGCAATGGCTGACTCAGTTTTTTGTTACAGGAAAAAGTGAGCTAATGTCTGGAGGAGCTATCAAGGTGTGTAGTTTAAGTACTCAGGCCTCCCCAAAAGGATAGCATATTTGTTTGGTTTTTATAACTTTCAATATTTATAATGTTGTAATCCAGGAGCATGTTCTCTGTAGACAATTTAGAAAATAGGTTTGGAAAACTGTACAAAGAATTGTAAGATATACATTCCAAATTCAGCCCCAAATAACCACTATATATGCATGTATATACATATACACAAACACATACACACATACACACAATTGGCCACCTGAGTAAAAGACGTGAGGCATAGCTTAGTCATAACCAATCTGGAAAACAAACAAGCAAAAAAACAAACAAACAAACAAACAAAAACTCAAGGGTGTTTTTCAACAGTAAGCACAAAGTGAGAAAGTAGAATGGCATAGTTTGGCTTCCAAGATGCTACATTAATCATTAATAGAAGGAAAGGTAACAGAAAAAAGGAGCTGATAGGCCTTCTGTACCTTACACTACTCAGACTACACCTGGAAGGTAAAGGAATGTTAAATCAGAGTAAAAAGAGTTGGTGAAACTTGGAGTTTAGAGTAAAGAGAAGTCCACATGTCCCTGATTTCTGTCTTCAGAGAGCTGAGGAACTCTTACATGAAATAGCAATATCTGTATTACTACGTAGCCCAACTTAAGAGAAAAACCTTCCAATGTTCATGAACAGAACAAAGACGTAATTCATTGCCTGGGAATGTATTGAGTTCTTTGTTAATGATGGTAATCAAGTAAAAATATAGCCCCATCACTTGTTAAAAATGTTTCTAGAGAGGATTCAAACTTTGGAGGAAGGTCATGTAGGGTCTCAAAACTTTATTATTCTTCTGAACCTATTTACAAGTTTTTGGGCTTCAGGCACTCAAAGGCCTGAGACCTTGGGTGTGGTTCTGGGAAACATTGTGAAGATAATCCACTTTATTTTCCAACATTTCATTCCTTTTCTGGGATATTCCACCATTACCTTTTGCTACCCAATGAACCCTACCCTTACCGCATCAGAAGAGAGCCTCTTCTGACAGGTTCCATGCTCTGTTTCTTTCCTACATTTTTCCTCAGTCTTCTATTCTCTTTAGATGCTAGTAATTCACACAGTAATCTAAGCTAAGTGGATTATAATGAGTTAATGGTTTTACCTAACCAGATAAAATATTTGCATTCTGTCAGTTAGTTCCTTCTAGGCAGTCAAACAACAGAGTGATGCAAGGAAGTTCAGAATGAAGTCAAGAACTTCTGCAGATTTCAGTTCCTGAAAAGAGCAGTGAGAAATGAGAGAAAGTATGCAGTAGACTGAGTTTTGTGGAAAGAGATTTTTTTCTGTATACTTCCTTTAACATATCTCTCTACCAGTGAATCATAAACAGAATGGAAGTCCACAGACAGCTTCAAAACATCTAGGGGAAGTTGGTGAAATCTTCTTCATCAACAGAGATGTATAAAAAGAGTATAATTTAATCTTTCTTGGATGATAATAATACTTCTGGTATTTTAATACTCAAAGCTCTTCAATACAGAACCTCATATTAATCTTCCAAAACTCTGTGGGGTAGGTGAGGTGGAATAATTATTCTAATTTTACAAACGAGAAACATAAGGTTCAGAGTGTTTAAATAAGTGGCTTGCCTTACCCGTGCCTAGTTAGGGATAATACCAAGAAAAAATAAACTCACATCTCCCTGTCATTCTTTAGAGATATTTTGATAATAACTTTTAAAATTACAAATGAACATATATTGAGTGCCTGCTATGCTACTAGCTTTGTACTAGGCAATTTACACGTATTGTCTCATTGAATCCTTTAGAAAACACTATGGGGCAGGTGTTCTTATTCCAGTTGCAGATGTGGAAAGTAAGGCTCATAGAGATTAGTGACTTGAGTCAGACTAACATACTCAGTAAATAATAGAGCTAGAAGTTTAGGCTATAATTTTTTGAATGTTAAATCTATACTCTTTTCTCATCAAAGCCACCCTCTGTACATCATACTGGTCCTAGACTAAGAAATTATTTCTTTAAATCTTTGCATTTCCAATTTGACCATCGCTTTTAAATCATTTGTTAAATTCACACACAACATTCATTTGTTAGTTTAGATGCTCAGATATCTAGGCACCAAAACCAGACACTTTTAGTTTTTAAAATATCTATAATAGATAATATGTATGCATACTGTATAATTAAATATACTACTGAATATATAATGCATATGCTAAAAGTCAAAGAATATAAAAGGGAATCCAGTGAAAATCACATTTCTTTCTTCAATGAATGACCTTCAGGCTCTGAGTTTCCCAGCAACCCCACCCCTCAGGCTTACATTTCTACTTCAAAACAACCATTGGTATTAGTATCTGTCCAAAGATATTTTATAATTTTCTTCATATAGTTGCAGGTATATGTGTATACATATAAATGTATATACATATATACACATATGTAAGTATAATTTTAAGTATAAACATGTAGTTGTGCATGATTTATATGAACACAGTAAACTATCTATGGCAAAAAGTTAAAATTCCTAGAAATGAAATATCTGGGGCGCACAGTAAGTACATTTTTTTACTTTGGTAAATATTGTCATGTTGCTCTCAAAAAGGTTGTATTATTTTAAGTCCTACCATCAACTTATCAGAGTGTCTATTTCTCCACAGGCTTTACAACAGTATGTAATAGAGCATTCTAAAATAATGTCAAAATTATATGCTAAAAATGGCATCTTACAGTTTTCATTTGCATAGTAGTCTCCCCTTTTATGCATGGTTTTGCTTTCTTAGGTTTCAGTTACTCATGGTAAACCTTGGTCGGAAAATGCTACATCACTACTCTTGTGCTTTGGGCCATTATTAAGTAAAATAAAGGTTAGTTGAACACAAACACTGTGATATATAACAGTTATGTGATAATTAAAATGGCTACTAAGTGCCTAAAGGCAATCTGGGTGGGATGGAGCAGGGTGGTGTGAGAATTTTAAGTTACCCAGAGAGGCAAGCAATTTAAAACTTGTGAATTATTTCTGGAATTTTCCATTTATGTCACACTGCCTACATCATTCACTTCATCTTATCACATAAGCATTTTATAATCTCACATCATCACAAGAAGAAGGGTGAGTACAGTACAGTAAGATATTTTGAGAGAGAAATTTTATTATGGTATAAAGTTAAAATTTTATATTATTATCAATTATTATTGTTAATCTCTTATTGTGACTAACTTATAAAGTTTATTATAGGTACGCATGTTTGGAAAAAAAATTAGTGCATATAGGTGTTGATGAAAAGAGTCAAACTCTGTAAAATATTTGAAGAGATTTATTCTGTGCCAAATATGAGTGACCATGGCCCATGACGCAGCCTTAAGGAGGTCCTACCCAAGGTGGCTGGGGTACAGCTTGGTTTTATATATTTTAGGAAGGCATGAGACATCAATCAAATACATTTAAGAAATACATTCGTTTGGTTTAGAAAGGCGGGACAACTTAAAGCGGGGGGCTTCCAGGCTATAGGTAAATTTAAACATTTTCTTGTTGACAGTTGGTTGAGTTTGTCTAAAGACCTGGCATCCATAGCAAAGAATGTTCAGGTTAAAGATAAAGGATTGTGGAGACCAAGGTCAGGATATACAGGATTAAATAAAACTCATCTGATGGGAATTTATGGTTTGTAGGGCATGACTCCCCAGATCTTTTGGAAAGGAATTTGGGCAAGATAAAAAATCAGAGCTTAGTCCTCAGTCCCCACTCTTGGCCAAAAAGCATTCCACAGAATGCACATGCAGGACAGCAAAACAGAAACAGGTTCCATGGCTCTAGGAGGCTCTTTCCTAGAGGTGTTTGATCTGGTCATTTGGCGACGTCCCACGACACGAGGAAGGCTTGTTCCTAGAGTCCTCTGATTTGATGGTAATAGTTTTGTGTCCGGAATTGGTGGGTTCTTGGTCTCACTGACTTCAAGAATGAAGCTGCAGACCCTCACGGTGAGTGTTACAGCTCTTAGGATGGTGCGTCTGGAGTCCGTCCCTTCTGATGTTCAGATGTGTTCGGAGTTTCTTCTTTCTGGTGGGTTCGTGGTCTCGCTGGCTCAGGAGTGAAGCTGCAGACCTTCGCGGTGAGTGTTACAGCTCTTAAGGCAGTGCATCTGGAGTTGTTCGTTCCTCCTGGTGGGCTCGTGGTCTCACTGGGCTCAGGAGTGAAGCTGCAGATCTTCCCGGTGAGTGTTACAGCTCATAATAGCAGCGTGGACCCAAAGAGTGAGCAGTAGCAAGATTTATTGCCAAGAGCGAAAGAACAAAGCTTCCACAGTGTGGAAGGGGACCCCAGCGGGTTGCCACTGCTGGCTGGGGCAGCCTACTTTTATTCTCTTATCTGGCCCCACCCACATCCTGCTGATTGGTGGAGCCGAGTGGCCTGTTTTGACAGGGCGCAGATTGGTGCCTTTACAATCCCTGAGCTAGATACAAAGGTTCTCCACCTCCCCATCAGATTAGTTAGATACAGAGTTTCCACACACAGGTTCTCCAAGGCCCCAGCAGAGCAGCTAGATACACAGTGTCGATTGGTGCATTCACAAACCTTGAGCTAAACACAGGGTGCTGATTGGTGTGTTTACAATCCCTGAACTAGACATAAAGGTTCTCCAAGGCCCCACCAGAGCAGCTAGATACAGAGTGTCGATTGGTGCACTCACAAACCTTGAGCTAAACACAGGGTGCTGATTGGTGCATTTACAATCCCTGAGCTAGACATAAAGGTTCTCCACGTCCCCACCAGAGCAGCTAGATACAGAGTGTCAGTTGGTGCACTCAAAAACCTTGAGCTAAACACAGGGTGCTGATTGGTGTATTTACAATCCCTGAGCTAGACATAAAGACTCTCCACGTCCCCACCAGAGCAGCTAGATACAGAGTGTCAGTTGGTGCACTCAAAAACCTTGAGCTAAACACAGGGTGCTGATTGGTGTATTTACAATCCCTGAGCTAGACATAAAGACTCTCCACGTCCCCACCAGACTCAGGAGCCCAGCTGGCTTCACCTAGTGGATCCCGCACCGGGGCTGCAGGTGGAGCTGCCTGCCAGTCCTGTGCCGTGTGCTCGCATTCCTCAGCCCTTGGGTGGTCGATGGGACTGGGCGCTGTGGAGCAGGGGGTGGTGCTCATCGGGGAGGCTCGGGCCGCACAGGAGCCCATGGAGTGGGTGGGAGGCTCAGGCATGGCGGGCTGCAGGTCCCGAACCCTGCCACGAGGGAAGGCAGCTAAGGCCCGGCGAGAAATCGAGCACAGCGCCGGTGGGCTGGCACTGCTGGGGGACCCAGTACACCCTCCGCAGCTGCTGGCCCGGGTGCTAAGTCCCTCATTGCCCAGGGCCGGCAGGGCTGGCCGGCTGCTCCGTGTGTGGGGCCCACCAAGCCCACGCCCACCCGGAACTCCAGCTGGCCCGCAAGCGCCACACCCAGCCCCGGTTCCCGCTCACGCCTCTCCCTCCACACCTCCCTGCAAGCTGAGGGAGTGGGCTCCAGCCTTGGCCAGCCCAGAAAGGGGCTCCCACAGTGCAGTGGGGGGCTGAAGGGCTCCTCAAATGCCACAAAGTGGGAGCCCAGGCAGGGGAGGTGCCCAGAGCAAGCGAGGGCTCTGAGGACTGCCAGCACACTGTCACCTTTCAGTTTCAAATATTAACTATTTGGATAATTGTGGAAAGACATAGTCTGACCGGATATAATAGCCAATTGCTTAAGAGGTGAGATGGAGTCAGGCCTAGGACTTAGTCTAAAAAATCCTGGATCAGATATATTTTCTGAGCTATCATGATCCGGGTCTTGAATTCTGCCTTTCTTTCTGCTATATCTGGCATAACATTTACAAGAAATGTTTTATGTAAATATAGTAACAAACATTAAAAGACAGCGAAGATTTGGGTGTCCAAGGTTATAGGTAGAATTTGAGGGCAGTAAACAACCCAATCAGCAGAAACAAACAAACAAACAAAAAACCCTGCATGCATCACTATATTCTTTGATCAGACATACAATGTGTTTACCCTCCCTATTAAGGGTTATTTGAACACTGTGATAAATATTATTTGAAAATTGTGGGACCAACATTATATTAGAATTTAATAAATTTAATCTCTGTTGTGGCCAATTTATCTCCATAGGTGTAGCATCCTGAGGAGGGTATAAATTAAATGCAAGAAATGCCTGGCCCTTGGTGTTTAAATTGTTATAGACTTGTTAATAGTAGACAAATCTATTTTTTCCTCCAACTTTTTTTTTTTTTTTTTGAGACGGAGTCTCACTCTGTAGCCCAGGCTGGAGTGCAGTGGCACGATCTTGGGTCACTGCAACCTCCACTTCCTGAATTAAAGCAATTCTCCTGCCTCAGCCTCCCGAGTAGCTGGGATTACAGGCACGCGCCACTGTGCCTGGCTAGTTTTTTGTATTTTTTGTAGAGACAGGGTTTTACCACGTTGGCCAGGCTGGTCTTGAACTCCTGACCTCAGGTGATCCACCCGCCTCGGCCTCCCAAAGTACTGGATTACAAGCATGAGCCACCGCACCCAGCCTCCCTCAACTTTTGTATTGCACCATATACTGGTATTTGGGAGAGAAAAGGTTTTGTCAGAGGAGAAGCCACGTAATTCTACAGTGTTATTTTTCCTAGGCAGGACTCTCTATGGCTGAGGGCCTTAAGAGTTAAAAGACTGATAGCCAATTAATTGTTCTAGGCCATCTAGGAACAGATGTAGACAGGCATTAATTACTTCCTAAAATTATCATTTTAAGTAAAAAAAAAAAAAAAAACACCAAAAGGCAAAGTTACAAGACTGACTTATTTTTATCTTTTATGTGTTGAGCTGTAAGCTTGGTTTCTGTTACATACTTATAGCAATTAGCTATATAAAACATAAACATTGTTCTGAAAAATAATTAAAAATATGTATTTATCAGGCCAGGCATAGTGGCTCGTGCCTGTAACCCCAGCACTTTGGGAGGCTGAGGCGGGCAGATCACCTGAGGTTGGGAGTTCGAGACCAGCCTGACCAACATGGAGAAACCCCACCTCTACTAAAAATACAAAATTATCTGGGCGTGGTGGCACATGCCTGTAATCCCAGCTAGTCAGGTGGCTGAGGCAAGAGAATCGTTTGAATCTGGGAGGCAGAGGTTACGGTGAGCTGAGACTGTGCCATTGCACAGTATAAATATATTTATAGATATATTTATCTATAAAGATATATTTATAGATATATTTATCTATAAAGATATATTTATAGATATATTTATCTATAAAGATATATTTATAGATATATTTATCTATAAAGATATATTTATAGATATATTTATCTATAAAGATATATTTATAGATATATTTATCTATAAAGATATATTTATCTATAAAGATATATTTATAGATATATTTATCTATAAAGATATATTTATAGATATATTTATCTATAAAGATATATTTATCTATAAAGATATATTTATAGATATATTTATCTATAAAGATATATTTATAGATATATTTATCTATAAAGATATATTTAGATATATTTATCTATAAAGATATATTAATATATATTTTTATCTATAAATATATATTAATATATATATAAATATATATTTATATATATTTTTATATATTTATATAGTAATATGTATTTTTATATATAAAAATATATTTATATATTTATATATATTTTTATATATAAATATATATTTATGTATTTATATATTTTTATATATATATATTTATATATTTATATATATAAATATATATTTATATATTTTTATATATTTTTATATATAAATATATTTTTATATATAAATATATATTTATACATTTATATATATTTATATATATATATTTATATATTTTTATATATATATTCATATAAATATATATTTATTTTTATATATTTATATATATAAATTATTTATATTTATATATAAGTATAAAATAAATATAAAATATATATAAAAATACAAAAATACATATATATATTATATATAATATATAAATAATGATATAGAGATATATATATCTCGTGATATATTTATCGTCACAACTTATAATTGGGTGTATTATACCCAGGAGGCTTTGTTAAAAGTTATTTTATCCTGTTAGCAAACATTTTCCTTTAATTTTATAGTAAGCACAAAATTTTTATGGTTGGGTTGGATGCAAAAGTGACACATCATACTTTAGAAGGCAACTAAACTTGTTTTACCAGCTGTTTAGGCATTTTTTTTTTAGTATCCTGTTCTTGATTTAGAGGGTTTGATTTTGTCCTAATTTTATTCCTCAAACCCAGCCTTTACGATCTTAACGCACCCACCTCTTCCGCAGTAGTCCCTGGGCCTAGAGGGAGGCAACTTGTATGGTTTTAGCAGCAGAGCATTAGTAGTGAAACAAATCCGATCCCAGTGGGATGCCAAATGACGGAGATTCATATCTCTGGCCTTCAGAATACCATGATTTTGGTTTCCTTGGAAGTAAAACAAAAAGAGATAAATAACATTTATTGTTTGGCAGTTATAAGAGTAATTTGTATGTTAAAACAGAAAGAGGAACCTATTCCATTAGGACACCAACTAAAAACATGAAGAAAAATTATAATCCGGTACTTTTTAGAGGATTATTATAGCCAAGAAATAATGTTTTAATCTGCACTTAAAAAGTCAGGGCTTTTGGGAGGCTTAGGCAGGTAGATTACTTGAGGTCAGGAGTTCGAAACCAGCCTGGCCAACATGGTGAAAGCCCGTCTCTAAGAAAAATACAAAAAAATTAGCCGGGTGTGGTGGCGGGCACCTGTAATTCCAGCTACCCAGGAGGCTGAGGTAGGAGAATCACTTGAACCGGGGAGGCAGAAATTGCAGTGAACCAAGATTGTGCCACTGCACTCTGGCTTGGGCGACAGAGCAAGACTCCGTCCTAAAAAAAAAAAAAAAAAAAAATTAAGGCTGAAATTTAGTATGAAGTGTTACACTTTACCCTTTAAACATTTTTTTAGTTGCCTTTTTTATTAAAGACAATATTACAGCAAGGACAATTTGTGTGCAAGGTTAGTTTTTGGCTTATTATGCTTGCCTGATTATTTGCATAAAATGCAGAAAGAAATTGGCTGTATAGACTCTCTATAAAGTTCGTTTTGCTGAAACTTTATCTAAAAATAGACTGTTTTAGTTTCAGTCTTGGTAAAATAACCAGTGTCTCCAGTTGTTTAAAAAAAAAAAAAACTATCATTGAACTTATGCAGGTAACTATATTGTCATAAAATTGCAATTTGAATTTTGCAGAACTCAGAAAGTAAATTTGCTTACGAAAACATACTTTACCCAAATCACTTAAAAGAAAAAGATTTTCCTGACCCTCCTTTAACCAGAGCAGCAGCTTTTAAGACAAGATGTTGTTTACTTTGGAAATGTCATTTACAAACCAAACAGCTCAGGAGAGCTATTAGGCACTCTGGAATTTAGCAGTTCCTTAGGATTAGTCCTAGAAAAGAGGCTCTTTGCTTATTAGGTAGCAAGATTTTATGTAAACCATTTTTATTTAATCATGGAACTTTTTGGGAAACATTATTTTCATTAATATACGGGTAGCTTTAGTTAATATTCCACGGCAAGGCAGTAAATGACCATCAAGTAGAACCTCTCTACCTCAGTTGTTGTTGTTGAAAAGTATTTACAGTTTTTGCTATCAGCCCTGATAAGTGCTTCACACAAAAGGCTATCCAGTGGAGGATTTACATGAGCAGATTTACACGTCTTCAGTTTTATAGTACTAGAAAAGGAAAACCACCCTTCAGTTAGATATAGTACCCATTTTTATAAGACAAAAAGGGGTTACAACTAACCTACATAAAGCTTGTTTAAACATCTTATATTTTATAATTTTATTAATTTGTATGTTTTCATGTTCTGTTCCCAGGAAGCCTTTTTTTTTTACCCCCAGACCATTTGGCCTTTTCTGGTGAAAAGGGTTTGGGTTCCCAGCAGGGAGCTGCATCTATGAGGGACAGCAGATTAGATAAGGCTTTTAAAAAGACCTATGGTTCTGTGGGAGGGGCACCCATGTAAAAGTGGCCCCCTTAACCCCCAAATTTACCATGACCAGGGTAACAGACACATTAGGTGGGATTGGGTGGGATGATATCCCAGTTATCATAAAGCTATTCCAACATGGCTTGCATAAGAAACAGAATAACTGGTTTTTCTGGGGTACTTTACTTGGTATTTTGGAGGGAGAGTTGGGCAGCCTCCTTTTCAGGGCAAACAGACCTTATAATGGCATTATCTGGCCCACTAGGCTGATTGCTTTTTCAGGAATAACCCCCTGTGCATTTGGATCACATATACTCAGTGACTGTTCAGTAATGAGCTGTGCGTCCTACATTAATCCAAACATGCTCTTAAATTCTGTAGCATTTAAAATTAAAAATTTTGTCTTTCTTTAAATGTCTTTAAAGTGGTTATTTTTACAATTCACTATAGTAAAGGTTTTTTTTTTTTTTTAGAAGCTGAATTACACCGATCTACCAAATGGAACAATTTCTTTATATTACACGCTTTGGTTTTAACTAGTTACTCAGTTTTGCCCTTCCCCCATATCAACTGTTTTCTTGGTAACCACAGCGCTCAGAGTCAACTTTTGCTGCCAGAGCTTGGTTTTCAAAATCAATTTAGTTTTATCTGTAGAATTTCCTTCATTATAAAGAAACCCTTAAATAGTTTCTTAACCAAAAACCTTACATTTCTTTGAAAATTGATATCTTTTGGTTTTATAAAATTTTACCAAAAGCATTTTTATGTTCCTACTATTTTTAACTTTTAGTAACCCAAATTTCCAGTGGGGAAAAAAACTGAGGTTTTATCATGACTTTAAGATGTTAAATTACTGAAGAATGTTTTAAGATTAAATTTACCAAATTTAATTTTTTAAAACATTACCAAGGTTATGTAAATCAAAAGGCATCCGAGCTAGCTATTACCAATCTAATAAGCACTTACATTTTTTAAGTTACTTGATTAGAGCTCTTTCATGTAGTTTGGTAGTGAAATATCACTTCTATATGACACATATAAAGATAGAGATATAATAGGCATGCAGAATAAAAGTCATGTTCAAAAGATACTTTATTTGCCTGTTTTCAAAAACAATTTTTCTCCTTTACTTTAGATAATTAGTAAAAGTCATAGGAGCCAAAAAAAAAAAAAAGGTGAAGGACCACCGTTCAAGGCCTTTTTAAAAGAAAGAGTGGCACTTTTAAGATATCAACTTGAAGAATGTTAAAGAAACAGATTATAGAATTTAAAAATTTAAAAACGTCTTGCATTCAAAATAAATCAATACTTGTAATAAAAATTTGTTTTAAACAATTATTTAGCTTCGTACTAGTGTATGTTTTAATATTAAATAGCCATCTCTAGGAATATTATTATGATTTCTTTTTGATTATAGCCAACTGAATTATACAGCCCCTTTAAAAAATTTATTTTACTAACGTTATTATGACTTACATAGTTCATTCGCAATGTGTTTAGACTCTTTTGTCTTAAATATCTCTCTTTCTTGTACAACACCATCATTTTTATTTTAGGACAAAAATTTACTATGCAAGATCTTTTCTTATATAAACTGAGTGTCCCTTTTACTTTTTTTCACCAAAAATACATCTTTATATCTTTAACTTTCTTTACATCTCTTATTTCCTGAGTCCTTTATATTGTTTTATACATAACCCTTAAATAAGCCTTGAATTAGACAAATATATTTTACTTTTAATAAGAACATTTAAAAAATTGTTTTCCTGTAATTGTTAAATTGGAAATTGCCCAGATACTTAATATCAATTAATAACCTTAGATCCTAAATTATGACAAGTTTGTTTACAAGTATTTATTCCATTACCTTTACCTGATTAATTTAAGTTTACCTAGATAATTTACAAAAAAACTGTGATAGCAAATATTTAAAGTTATTTTTCTATTAACCATTTTTATAGCTGCGGATTTCAGGTATTTACCTAAGTAACAAAGCTTATGATTAGTTTTATGAATAACTCAGTATTCAGCTGTTTTTATTTAAGCCAACAATATTTCATAATCATATACAATCAAAGATTATTCTGTCTTGGGCTAGGTTTTATAGTTTATAATCCTTATGGCAAATCTTGGCAAGTCTTATAGTATTTGGCAGGAATTAAACATGAAACTACTTGATCAATAGATGCAAACAAAATGCTAACAATTCTAAAGACATCATTATTTTACCATAATCTTAAAGCCAGCTTGCTGGGCACAGTGGCTCACACCTGTAATCCCAGCACTTTGGGAGGCCAAGGTGGATGGATCACAAGGTCAGGAGTTCGAGACCAGCCTGGCCAATAAGGTGAAACTCCGTCTCTACTAAAAATACAAAAATTAGTGAGCATGTTGGCGGGTGCCTATAGTCCCAGCTACTTGGGAGGCTGAGGCAGGAGAATCGCTTGAACTCGGGAGGCAGAGGTTGCAGTGAGCCGAGATAGCGCCACTGCACTCCAGCCTGGGCGACAGAGAGAGACTCCATCTCAAAAATAAAATAAAAATAAATAAAAAAAAAGCCAGCTTATTTAGTAAAGATTTTAAGTCACGTGAACTTGAAAAAAACATTTTGAAGGAAGAGAGAGACCCTCTCATGTTGTTTTATATTGTTTTATACTCAGTACCTGTTTTAAGAAAAAACAACAAGGAAGTAAAACCAAAGACAGGCAGCCTGGCGCCAGGCCCGAAACCAGGCCTGGGCCTGCCTGGCCTAAATCCAGTAGTTAAAAATCAACTCAAAACTTAGAAACCAATGTTATTCATAGATTCCAGACATTGTATAGAAGAACACTGAAACTCCCTGCCCTGTTCTGTTTCTCTCTGACCACCAGTGCATGCAGCCCCTTTGACATACCCCTTGCTTGCTCAAATCAATCACGACCCTTTCATGTGAAATCTTTAGCGTTGTGAGCCCTTAAAAGGGACAGAAATTGTGCATTCGGGGAGCTCAGATTTTAAGGCAGTAGCTTGCTGATGCTCCCAGCTGAATAAAGCCCTTCCTTCTACAACTCGGTGTCTGAAAGGTTTTGTCCGTGGCTCGTCCTGCTACAATTTGACTTGTCTTCCTTTTTTTTTTTTAAGTATCTGATTTAAGCTCTTTTTTCGAAGCCAATTAATTAGAGCTCTTCATATATTTTTAGTCCTGAAAATATTGTGGGCTGGGTGTGGTGGCTCATGCCTGTAATCCCATCATTTTGGGAGGCCAAACTGGATGGATCCCCTGAGGTCAGGAGTTGGAGACCAGCCTGAACAAAATGGAGAAACACCATCTCTACTAAAAATACAAAATTAGTGGGGAGTGGTGACACAAGCTTGTAATCCCAGCTACTCAGGAGGCTGAGGCAGGAGAATCGCTTCAACCCATGAGGCAGAGGTAACAGTGAGCCAAGATCGCGCCATTGCACTCCACCCTGAGCAACAAGAGCAAAACTCCGTATCAAACAAAAAAAAAAAAAAAAAAAAAGAAAATATTGTGTGTACACACATAAATATATAGATGTATTTAGGCATGCTGACAGAAGTATTTCATACATTCATGAGATACTTCCTTTTTCCTTCTTTTTTTCTATTTCTATTTTAGACTTTTAAATTCTTGAAAACATGTTGCATCACCCTAGGCAGTCATTCCCTAAATAGCCCCAAATTTGCATATTAAAGGAAACAACTCAGATCAAGATCAGATAGCAAAATTTACATCATAAGGTATGGGGAGAAAGTCTGGTGTGCTAGAGGGAAATTAAAACGAATTTAATTGCCATTTGAACATAAAATTATAGAAATCTATTCTAAAGGCCTTTATATATATACACCCATATACATACATACACACAAAGTTCTCATAGCTATTACTTCAGTACTTTAGCCATGAGACAAGTACAACTTTGCCAGCTTGCAGAAAACACTGTTAGATCCGAACAGTGGTTTTCATCTTAGTAGAAGAGTAACAGAAGATTTAAAGCAGGAAGAAAAGAAAATAGAGAAAGAGAACCTTAGGTCGACCTTAGCAGTCTTTTTCCTTAGTGTAAAATGTGCACAAAGGCCATATTACTTCAAGTAGAGGTGCCATAAAACCTAAGGAGTGCTCGAAAGGGGGTCATTCTCCTTGTTTTCACTTTTTTCGTAGCTAATTCTGAGAGAAAAGCAATTGAGAAGACCCTTTAGAAATGCATCTCCTAACTTGAATTAAGATCCGTAAACAACACCTTCCCAGGAAAAAACAGCTTAGAATAAATTAAGGACCTCAACCAAAGGGAGGTCCAGGGCTCAGGAAGACTTACCCATTCCACTGGAGGAGAAGCTCGAACTCGGTGGGGCTTCAGTGGGCCCGTGCTAGTACCTTAGTTCTGGTTTCCACAACTCCTTCGGGTTCCTGAGTCTTCTCTGAGGCTCCACGTGTTTGGGTGCCAGATTATTGTTGACGAAAAGAGTCAAACTCTGTAAAATATTTTAAGAGATTAATTCTGAGCCAAATATGAGTGACCACGGCCTGTGACACAGACCTCAGGAGGTTCCGAGAACATGTGCCCAAGGTGGTTGGGGTACAGCTTGGTTTTATATATTTTAGGAAGGCATGAGACATATTAGGAAGGCATGTAGATTTTTCCCATAAGAGATTTTGCAGGGCAATTTCAATGTATGGCACGGAAATATATTTTTGGGTAAAACATTTTGATTTTCTTCCTTGTTATGCCAGAGTCAGATCGGAAAGTAAGTAATTATATACAGGGTTAAATAAAACCCATCTGATGAGAATGTATGGTTTGTAGGGCATGACTCCCCAGACCACTTAGAAAGGAATTTGGGCAAGATAAAAGAAAAAAAAATCAGAGCTTAATCCTCATAAGGTTTAGTACTATCCACAATTTCAGGCATCCAGTTGGGGGTCTTGGAATGTATCCCCTACTATATATATTTTTCTATTAGTGATGTTGCACCTCATTTCACATGTTCATATGTTTAAATTCACTTATATTTTTCTACAAACTGTCTATACATATGCTCTGCCTATTTTTCTGTAGGGTTTTTAGCTCGTTCTTATCGACTTTTAGAATTTTTTTGTAAAGTGAGGAAATTACTGCCTTGTCAGAAGTGTATTTTATATCCTGTTCTCTCTTGTTTGCATTTTGTCTTTATTTATGGTACTGTTTCAATGAATATAATTATAAGTTTTATAAAGCAGTTATGTGTATCTCATTTTAATGGTTTTTAGATTTTGTGTATTGCTTTAAAAAAACTTTAATTAATTCAGGATTCTTTAAATATATTTCCTAAGTTTTCTTCTAGCTGTTTTATAATACCCAGCTTAAAAATCTACAATTTTAAATAAACCATAACAAAACAACATACTCAGATCTCAGAGATACATTATCCTAGTAAAGGATTAGAAAATCAATTATAGAAATGTATCCATGATGGATGAATCCTAATTCAGTCACTTATTTAGAATAGACTTACATAAAATTTGTGAAACATGGAACTACATGGTAGACGAAGTGAACTTTCTTCAGAATCATTAACATGGAAAAATGTGGGGGACAAACAAATTATTCTTACATCCAATACTTAAGGAAAAAATTGTATGTGCATGTAGTTGTAAAAGAATGGTCAGAAATATTGCTGCAACATGCTAAAAGTTGCATTAACTCAATATTTCTCTTTTTTGCTGTGGCACGTTGTAGCAGGATTGAGGGACAATAATGATTGGATAGTGAGTTTTCTGCTATGTTCAAACCAAGTTACTTCCACAGAGAGAAGTTCATCCTGCTGACGGAACTGCTTTCCAGAGATAGAAGATGGAGGCTCTCATACTAAATTAAGGCTACATGAAGCATGCATGTATTTCTTCCTGTTAAATTCTGAAGGGCTTACTTGTTGGCAGAAATGACTCATAATGACTTAAACAGATATCCATCTGTAGTGTATTAAATAAATGAGAGGCTGAAATTACTTAAGAGATGCTCAATGTATTTGCAGAAACAATAAGCTTTGAAAAAGGGAGATGAAGCTTTATTTCCCCAGGAAATTTCAGTGCTTCATTCAACACATGAATACAAACCTAATTTAGTGCAATGTCACTGGTAGACGAGGGACTCAATTTCAGGAATGTGAAGTATGCTGCATTTTTTTTGGCATGCTCTGTGGTCCCTCTAAAAACCCTTTTTCTGAACATTATTAAATTAGACACATTTCTTTCTTTATGCTTGACATCACTTTTAGGATTAAGATAAAAACCAGGAACTCACCTGTACAATTTTGCCTTATCATTTACAATAAAGATTAAGACCAGCAAATGAAAATAATGCATACAGTGTTTTCATGAAAGGCTGGACAAAAGCTGCTGAATTAATACTACTTTAAATTGCTGCACTGTACACATACAGAAACTCAGTCAGAACAAAAACATCAATGCAGATCCATAGCCCTGGTTTACGGAATAAGACTGTGATCTTTAGATTAAAATGAAGTTCCCACAACACCTTGTTTTTGTGACCTAAGAGAAGTTTATAAATCTTTCTGATACTCCATTGGCTCATTTATTGATTCGGAATACCTAACTCACAGGGATTTTCAGAAGATTAAATAAGAAAATATATGAAAACTTCCTAAATTCATAAATTTCTAAAGCTTACAATAAGCACTCAATTGATGTTAGCTATTTTCATTTGATAATTTTTCCCTCAATGCTGTGAAGTTAACATGTCTAGCCCAGTGCCTGCCATGTAGTAAATGCCCAATAAATGCTAGTTGCATCTGAAAGGCATGTGATTAACTACTTCAAACTAAAATGTTAATGACACAGTAACTTATTTTGTTTTAGAGTGAAAGATATTATTTTCTATATCCACTTGAAGGAAGAATTATTTTAGATGGTATCACCTTAATTCAAGCTTATGTGTTATTAATAGTGTATGTTCTACAAATATTGCTGATTGACAGAAAAATTCTGTAAGGTCTGTATAGATTTTCTTCATCTGTCAGGTCCCAAAAGAAACTTATAATCAGAAACTAGGATTTATTGTGGTTAGGAACATGGACTTGGATTCAGAATGATCTGAACTCAAGGCCTTGCTCTATCACTTTTTAGTTATGTGTCCCTTGGATAAGTCACTTAAGATTTCTGAAACTTAGGTTGTAACTCAGTACATGTTATTTTTATTGTTGTCATTAGTTGAGGCAGAACATTTTCTTTGACATCGCCTTTAAGTACAGGGCGCAACGTTTTCTGGTATACGCAAATCTCACCCCCTAAATGTACTTACATGGAAGAAGTGACTATCCAGAGTCTCAAAAAGCGCAATATAGTACATATCAATTAAAGTACAGACATCAGGGATTATATGTTTGCATCACTGTGTACATGAAGACACACTTCCTTAAAGATTTGAAATGCTTCACAGAGGACTTTATAATATTACACTTTCAAATCATAATAAATGCATTAATCATAAATCCTGCATTTCCTATATGCTAAATGTATTTCCTACAGCCACCATGTAATATAATTGGATTTGGAAAAGTAAGGACATTTTGAAAAGCAAAAACACCTTTTTCAGGTTGTTGTACTAGGTTACTCCTAGTAACCTGAGATTCCTGCACAAATGTAGCAGGACATAAAATTCCAACAAAAGCAGGTACCAAAAAATTTTCATCATCTTGTCTTTCTTCCTTGACTTGGGTCAGAAGCTCATTGTATTTTAAGACACAAACATTTTTAACTCAGTGACCTGAAAGCCAAAGGTTTTTCAGAAAGACCTTAATTCAGTGACATTATACAACTTATCTTAATGCTTGAGAATCTAGTACCTATCTGTGCTTTACAACACTTACTGAATTTCCTTCTTAATAATCTCTACATTCTTCTGTGAATGTTTGCTTCTCAAAGATATAAAATGTGAAGTTTTTCATAACTATATCTGTAGTGTTGATAAAATGATAGTCAAATTATATAAAGCTGTTAGAAGAATATTAAAATAATGAAGGTGAGAGATAATTGAGGGTTGAAAATAAGTCAATGGCAGTGGAGGCAAACAAAAAGCTATTCCCTAAAACTTGTGGGGTTTGGGAAAAATTCCAAAAATAAGATAATTTAACAATTATTGTGCAGTTCTAGGTGTTCTACTGATGAGGCAGGAATTTTGTTTTTGTTTTTGTTTTTGTTTTTGTTTTGAGACGGAGTCTTGCTCTGCTGCCCAGGCTAGAGTGCAGTGGCGCGATCTAAGCTCACTGCAAGCTCCATCTCCCAGGTTCACGCCATTCTCCTGCCTCAGCCTCCTGAGTGGCTGGGACTACAGGCGCCCATCACAATGCCTGGCTAATTTTTTGTATTTTTAGTAGAGACAGAGTTTCACCGTGTTAGCCAGGATGGTCTTGATCTGACCTCATAATCTGCCTGCCTCAGCCTCCCAAAGTGCTGGGATTACAGGCGTGAGCCACCGCGCCTGGCCAGGAATGTTTTGATGAGTAATAAAATAAATACATAAATAATTCATAAATTTGTTATATTTATTTTATCAAATATATATTTCTTACATTTATTTCACCAAAATCACCAATGATGTTTTCATGATAACGATTTTCACATTATTTGTGTTCTGCTTGCAGCAATGCTAAATATGACAACATGTCTTGAGTCATGGTAATTTCTAGCTAGTTTTTCATTAGTTTCAATTTGAAGAAATTCTTTTCATTTGAAATAGTAGTAACTGCAATTGTCAATAACATTATTAACTTCCAAGAGATACTTAGATTATACAATGAACCATTATATTAGTTAGCCTTTCTTGTATAATAAAATCTTATTGACTTAAGACAGCAATTATTTTGGCCGGGCGTGGTGGCTCACCCCTGTAATTCCAGCACTTGGGAGGCCGGGGCGGGTGGATCACCTGAGGTCAGGAGTTTGAGACCAGCCTGACCAACATGGTGAAAACCCGTCTCTACTAAAAATGCAAAAATTAGCTGGGTATGGTGGCACATGCCTATAATCCCAGCTACTCGGGAGGCTGAGGCAGGAGAATTGCCTGAACCTGGGAGTTGGAGGTTGCAGTGAGCCGGTCATTGTACTCCATCCTGGGCAACAAGAGTGAAAGTCCTTCTCAAAAAAACAAAACAACAAAAAACAAACAAACAAAAAAGCCAATCATTTATTACTTCAGGATTCTGCATTCCAGCAGTTTAGACTAGATTCACCTCATGATAAATAAGTTACAAAACATTGTGACCATATTTTTTCAATAAACTGCAATCACCTAGTTCAAAAATTATGGGCAAACACTGTAATGGAATTACATCTTATAAAATAGTGTTATTATAAAACATATTAATTTCATCACACAAATCCCCATGCCTTATGTTGTAATTTTCACTATTTTCAATGCATGATCTAAATCCATAGAATATTTTTTATAAAAATTAAAATCTGTTTATTGAAGTATCATTTCAGGTCCTCTAAACATTTTCAGGATTCCTTATTTTGTAAAATAGTAATGTGCACATAAGAACACATGAAAGAGTTAAATAGTCAAACCACAGTGAAACAGAAAATAAATAGAGTTTAACCTTAACTACTGAAAGCAGTGCAGAAATTGATAATACCACACAGGAAGTAAATGTCATGTAAAGATCTCTGAAAAATGCAAGAAAAATTCCTGATAGCATCCGTATTAGAGGTATGTTGTTTTTCACCAAAAGTAATGGACTTTTACTAATTTATTTATTTATTTATTTTTAAGTTGTGTTTTAAGTTTAGGGGTACATGTGCAGGTTTGTTACATAAGTAATCTTGTGTCATGGGATTTGTTATTCAGATTATTTCTTCACCCTGGTTTTTTGTTTGTTTGTTTGTTTTTTAAGATGGAGTCTTGCTCTGTCGCCCAGGCTGGAGTGCAGTGGTGCTATCTTGCCTCACTGCAACCTCCACCTCCCGGGTTGAAGCAATTCTCCTGCCTCAGCCTCCCCAAAGCTGGGATTACAGGTGATGGCCACCACACCCGGCTAATTTTTCTATTTTTGGTAGAGACGGGGTTTCATCATGTTGGCCAGGCTGATCTCAAACTCCTGATCTTGTGATCCGCCCGCCTCGGCCTCCCAAGATGCTGGGATTACAAGCGTGAGCCACCGTGCTTGGCCTTCAAGCAGGTATTAAGCTTAGTGCCCATTAATTATTTTTCTTGATCCTCTCCCTCCTCTCACCCTCCACCCTTAATAGTTCCCAATGTCTGTTGTTCCTCTCTGTGTGTTTATGTGTTCTCATTATTTGGTTCTGACTTATAAGTAAGTATATGCGGTGTTTGGTTTTCTGTTCCTGTGTTAGTTTGCTAAGGATAATGGCATCCAGATCCATCCATGTCCCTGCAAAGGACATGATCTTGTTTTTTTTTGTTTGTTTGTTTGTTTTGAGATGGAGTTTTGTTCTTATTGCCTAGGCTGGAGTGCAATGGTGCAATCTTGCCTCACCACAACCCCTGCCTCCCAGGTTGAAGCGATTCTCCTGCCTCAGCCTCCCGAGTAGCTGGGATTACAGGCATGCACCACCACGCCCGGCTAATTTTGTATTTTTAGTAGAGATGGGGTTTCTCCATGTTGCTCAGGCTGGTCTATAACTCCCGACCTCAGGTGATTGGCCTGTCTCCCCCTCCCAAAGTGCTGGGATTACAGGCATGAGCCACCACACCCAGCCGATCTTGTTTTTTTTGGTTTTTTTTATGGCTGCATAGTATTCCATGGTGTATATGTACCACATTTTCTTTATCCATTCTATCTTTGATGGGTATTTAGGTTGATTCCATGTATTTGCTATTGTGAACAGTGTATAATTAACATAGTCTTACCCTCAACAATCTTTTAAATACATCATAAAATTAAAACTTATTTATTCTTTGACAAAATTAAAACCTACATTTTAGAAAATATCAAGTATTATTTGTTCAACATGATTTTTGCCAGGGTATAATCAAATTCTACTGAATAAGACTTACTTTTCAAATTGTATGTATGATTTCTTTCCTTACTTTATTATGTATTAAATTTAAAATCTCATTTTGAATTATTCATCTAGGTAATGATTATTTTTTTCTTCATTTTACAGGTTTAGCCAAGAGATTTTAATATAATATCTAATAAGCCTAAAATTTTTGTTTTCTTTCCATATTATTCTTTTAAGAACATCATGTCATTGTTCTATATTGGCCTGTACTTGTCTTTGTGATACACTAGTTATTACTGTTTATTCAAACTTTTTTCCCCTCACCTCCAGTGTTGCATGTATATAAGTTACAGCTTGTGTTTTTTTAATTGAGAATCTAATAGCCTCATAGTCATAAATACCTTCATTGGCCCAAAATGATCTTAAGGATTGGGTGTGGAAGATGAAGTGGAAGTAACAAAACATATTGGTTTTGTACAGAGAATAGAAAACACATTTTCACAGATTGTTTATTCACCTGAAAGACTCTTGGTGTAAAATGAAATGCTAAATATGCTACCACATTCATCCAGTTAGGGGAAATGTAGCATCAATTAAAACTGAACTACACTTTGGTAGGCCAAGGCGGGCAGATCACGAGGTCAGGAGATTGAGACCATCCTGCCTTAACACGGTGAAACCCCATCTCCACTAAAACTACAAAAAATTAGCCAGGCGTGGTGGAGGGCACCTGTAGTCCCAGCTACTCGGGAGGCTGAGGCAGGAGAATGGTGTGAACCCGGGAGGCAGAGCTTGCAGTGAGCCGAGATCCCGAGATTGCGCCACCACACCCCAGCCTGGGTGACACAGCAAGACTCCGTCTAAAAACAACAACAACAACAACAACAACAAAAACTGAACAACTGAACTGGGGTCGGGTGCAGTGGCTCACACTTGTAATGCCAGCACTTTGGGAGGCCAAGGCAGATGGATCACCTGAGGTCAGGAGTTCGAGATCAGCCTGGCATGGTGGCTCATGCCTGTAATTCCAGCACTTTGGCCAAGGCAGTCCTATCACTTGAGGCCAGCAGTTCAAGACCAGCCTGGCCAACGTGGCAAAACCCTGTCTCTATTAAAAAATACAAAAATTAGCCGGATGTGGTGGAACGCACTTGTAATCCCAGCTACTCCAGAGGCTAAGGCATGAAAATCACTTGAACCTGGAAGGTGGAGGTTGCAGTGAGCCAAGATAGCGCCACTGCACTCCAGCCTGGGAGGCAGAGCAAGACTCTGTCAACAACAACAACAACAACAACAAAAAGTACTTGTACTTGGATCAACTTAGATATTTTTTGCTTGAAAGTAGCAGAAGCCACAGAATCAAATAGCTTAAACAATATGATCTGTATTGTCTGACATAACAAAAAATGAAGACATAAGTTTATTCTAAGTTTAGTTAATTCAATGGCTCATTGACACAAAAGACCGAAGTCCTTGCCAAGGATTTTCTCTGCCATTCCAAGCATTTCAATTCAGATATCTTCATGGGAGCAAGATAGCTGCAGCACTTTCAGGGATCAGATTCAGACATAAAAAAGCCCAGAAGAATAAGAACAAAGGTAGGTGTTTCTTGCATGTATCTGTTCTCTTTTTATTTAACCATTAAGTAAAGTTTTTCCTAATGCTCCCCAAAAACCTTTCTCTCTGGTCTCATTGATCAGAAATGAGTCCCAGGCCTGTAACAAAACTAATCACTGGCCAGAAAAATTACATCACTTATCTTGCCAACATTAGTTGACACTCATTCCCTGGATTAGAAACAACATCCACTTATCTTAAATGCAAAGCCCTAAAGAAAAAGTTACTACATAAGTAAAAAATAGTGTTTTGTTAAGAAAGAGGAAGGGGAGGAGTGGATTTCTGTTGGATATACAATCATCAGTATCTGTTATAATACATAAGAACTATTTTGTGTATATTGAATAAGGTAATATATGTTAAAACATTTGGCATATAATAACAAAGAAATTAAGACTCATAGTAGCAGAATTAAAATTCTGCTATTCAGACCCAACCTGAAATGCTTGGAGTTGCAGAGAAAAACATTAGCAACAACTTTGGTATTTTGTATTACTGAGACACTGAATTTACTACACCTAGAATCATCTTATGTCCGGATTTTTTGTTATATCAGACAATACAGGTCATACTGTTTAACTGTTAGATATGAGTTCTAAATTTCTTTTGAAAGAATCAATGTCAGTATATTCAATTCTTCGCCTTCTACTTTTGAACTTAACTTCCTCATAAAGCACACTTTTTCAATTACCTGCTCCACCCTGACTCATTTCAATCACCTGCTCCACCCTTACTCAACCAGATTAGCTACTCCACCCTGACTCATTCCGATTACCTGTTCTGTCAGACCATTTTTCCGGCCAAACCACTCACCGTGTCACTCTCTTTAAATTAGCCAGTCGGAATTAGTTTAGCCTGTGTGGTCTAACCCTAGCCAATAGGGGAAGGACAGAGCAGCAGGGGCCACGTGCATCAGGGATAAGAACCCCTTCCCCTCCCTTGTCCAAGAGTGTGCTCACCATTGCTCCACCTGTAAGGATGCACCCTTCTATAGAAGTACCTTGCCTTGCTGAGAATTAAAAAGAAAATTTTATATTCCAGTGCTATTTCTTTTGTGGCACCGAAACTTTTTATATAACATAACTGTTTGAGTAAATAAAATTCATGAGGAAAACAGCTAAAGATTTATTTAGCATCACTATCCAAACTGATTATGGGAAGAGCACCATAACAGGTACAAAGAGGGTTTGTACAATGTGGAAAGTACACGACAACTGATCTAATCAAACTTCACTCTGGTTTTTTAGCTATTCCAAATCTTTGGGTGCTATGATAGTGAATAATATCCAACAGGCCAAGAGCAAAATCAGTAAAGCTGAGACCAATCTGTTGCATCTGATTGTGTGTCTTAAGTAACCCAGTATTCATGGCCACTGATATGTATATATTAGTGATGCATCCATCCAAAAGCTTTTCCTGACACTTAACTGCATTTTCTAGAGAAATGATACATAAAATCAATGTATGCAATTGATCAGAAAAAAGCCTTTGATTGTTTTGTGTAATGGAACAAGAAAACCACTGAGCTAAGTTTCAATGGTATTCAAGTCATATGTGTGCTGCAGCAGTCCACATAGATTACAATGAGCAAAATTGTCCTTTCACAGCCAGGGCTGGGAGGAAAAACTTCCGAGGAGCTCTCTCCTGAATATATAATATATTATATATTTTCTTCAACTCCTTGGATTAAACAAGCATCAGAAAAGTATGGAAAAGGCAGCTAGCCCACAGATTTTCTGAATTTTCAGTGTTGACTGATTTTAATAAGAATGAAAGTGCAAATGACAGGAATTTTGTAACTTCCTTAACCCCAAATTAATGCCATTCGACTTGCACATTAACAAAACAGAATGCGGAGAACTGTCAATATGACACTTGCAAAGTTTCAGGTGTTTGGATTAGAAGGTTAGAAAGCTCCCCACCCCGCCCCCCCACCCCCTGCCTGCCACACACACTCACACAATATTGGCTAACTTCTACATTCAGTGGATGATTTCCTACATGGTAGCCAGAATTTCTGATTTGATTCCAAAAACAAAAGATGCCAAACATCTGCTCAGAAGGAAGTAGCAAATACTGGAACTCAATGTTCTTTATACTTGAGAAAGGTTTATAACAACAAACAGCTTTTACATGACTCACTCAGAAAAAACTAAAGACTCTTCTAAAACTACTTTTCATATACCTGCACTGAAGCAACAGTCATCTTTAAGCCAAATAGGCGGAGAGAAATGACTTCTTCAAAGTATTCAGGTAAAATTTCGATGAAGTTTAGCTATTAGATTGTATTTTCTGGAAGGCAGCTCACTGTTGTGTTTTTCCACATTTGGGAAAAGTAAAAATGGTATAGTAATTCTGGGTGGGTCCACCTTGTTAAAATGGGCATAATTGTCCATAACCTCATTCCATTGTGATAGTGGAATTACTTTTTAAGTGTGGCATAATTGAATGATAAGAAGGGTTAGTGTGAATCACATAAATATCTCAAGGATCCAGTATGCCAAAGTTAGAATCTATAGCATAAACCTATAGTATAGTAAATATTCAATACATTGTCTTTTGTTTCCTTTCTAAGGTCATTTTTAAATTGGGAAGGGTTTGCTTTATTGTATTACTAATAGTTATTTAACCGCTGAAAGTAAAATAAAATTTAGAGGCTTTTAATCTGATGTTAAAGATTAGGGTTATGAAACAAAATCCAAAAAATGCTTTGAAGGCCAAAATGTATGTTTTTTCTCTTCATGTTTCCTGTTCACTTTCCAGTCATCTTTAGAATAAATAACTCTTTTGCAGACCTCAACCAAATTAGTCTTCCTCAGGATGTAAACTCCTTCCTTTTAACTAACCTAGAATATGTCAGGGGTTTTCCGAAACAGCTAGCATTAAAAATAAACTCACTTAGAGAAATTCAGAAACCCTAGGTTCCTCTGCTAAAGGATGAATACCTAATGAATCTGCCTTTCCAATATGGGGAACTGAAGATGTGAACAATTTCTTCCTATTTGTCCCTATTCTTTCCTCTATTTAATGCTTATCGCAAACTCCAGGAGACAAGAAGCTATTATCAGATCAATTATCTGGGCTTGGAAAACTTATGGGGACATATGTCCCACTTCCACCACAATATAAGAGGAGAAAGTTTACCACTGGCATTGAAGGCAGTAAAAATTGACCTTACCAATAGCCCAGCCCATAACCCAGGAAGGAACACTTTTAAACCACTGAGGTGACCAATATCTTCATATATATATATACACACACACATACATATTTAATTCCTTGGCCTGTATTTGTCTTTTTATTGTATTTTTTAAATTTTCTTTTGAGATGAAGTTTCACTCTTGTCACCCAGGCTGGAGTGCAATGGCACGATCTTGGCTCACTGCAACCTCTGCCTCCTGGGTTCAAGCGATTCTCCTGCCACAGCCTCCTGAGTACTGGGATTACAGGCGCCCGCCACCACGCCCAGCGAGTTTTTGTATTTTTAGTAGAGATGAGGTTTCACCCTGTTGGTCAGGCTGGTTTAGAACTCCTGACCTCAGGTGATCCACCCGCCTCGGCCTCCCAAAGTGCTGGGATTATAGGCATGAGCCACTGCGCCCGGCCTGTATTTGTCTTTTGACAGACTTGCACAGAATATGCCACACTTAAAATTAATATTTTTGCACAGCTTGCATCGTTCACACAGATGCCCTGGTAAGAATAATTCAACGTGTTCACAGTGGGTGGATTTCTTTCTCTCTCTTTCCCTTCTCTTTCTGCCAAAATCTGTGGGTGATCTTTCTTAAAATATAGGTCTGGCTAGTTCAAAACAATAAGATGAAAGTCTGCTGTGCCATATTATATATGCTTAGCTGTAAGACTTTTATTTATTTGCAAAAGATCACATGGCAATTGATTGAATTATGATGAGTTGGGAGTAGGAAATAATAAAATTCACTCAACAAAGTAATTTGGAGTCACAATGTATGACAACAGGACCAATCCTTGGCCAAGCCAGGGTAGCATCTGACTCAGCCCAGGGGTCTAGGGCTGCTAGTCTCTTGCTGCTCTTCCCTAATGCTTCTTTCAAAAACAGGATCCTGCAACCATTAAGTACAGCTTTTAAGACTTTATTTACTATTCATTTTTCTTCAGACACTGAATAGCCCCCACTCCTTACTGCTATCTATCCAATTCCTTACCACCTAGAATCACTTTTTGGTCCACCTCAAGTCTCACCTCCTTCAGAAAGCCTTCCCTGATCAAGCCAGTCCACATTGTTCTCTGCTCTGAACTCACACAATACTGATCATTTAAATCTGACCTTTCATTTTAATATAACTTTATACTTTGTGGTAATTGCTTATACTCATGAATTACTCAGTAGCTTTAATGTACATTTATTTTGTCTCTCTACATATGGTATACATGCTTTAAGTACAGCTTTCATGCTGTGTACTTCTTTGTGTTTAACAGCACCTAGCCCAGGACTATTCCTGTGGTGCATACTTAGTAAATCTCAGTTAAATGAATGTGGAATGTATCTTATGTATCAGACGTAAGAATTGTTTAGTTGCTCTGATTTTTACAATCTAACACTTTAGCTGATAACAAGGGCCTTATTTTTGATAAATTTTCAACTTCCTCTCAGTAATAATATGGGTGCAGATTCCATTTTTCAGTTGCCTGAGACTATTTACTATCCATTTATACACATGTGTTCCAGGATGATACCCCAGAAGTTATTCTGGAAATATTGTAATACATACCTCTGGCTATATACTCAGATTTCACCTAAAAGGGAGTATATGTGATAATATAACATGTGGTTGTTATAAACCACAAGAAAAAAAATTTGTTCACTGATCCTTTGTCGTCTCTTTATATTCTCCTGGAAATTTAAGAAAATACAATATGGGGTTACACACATCAAGGACTTACGCATAATTGGCATTTTTTGTTGTTCTCAGGTTTAACTAGCATAATTAATGCTCTTCTCTCTTGCATATAGTTTTAAATGATACAATTATAGAGCTAAAATGGAGATGATATTATCCAAGCTTTCCTGGGAGTGTATAGTACAAGATAACAAATTGTCTGCTGTACCTTTCTTCAAAAGTGGGCCTCAGGCTCCATACTGCATCTATGTGGGCTAGACTAAAATATGAAGAAGGATTTCAGATATTTGAATAAGTATGTTCCTTTGGAACAGGTATAATGTGGATATAACTTACGTTGAATTTAATTCTATAGCCAATAGAGATGGAATGAGTTTCCACAGCATAAGAATTTGGAAATTGACTATGAAGGTAAAATACAAATTTCTTTTATCAGTATTATTACTTTACTTTAAGTTCTGGGATACATGTGCAGAATGTGCAGGTTTACTACATAGGTATACACGTGCCAGGGTGATTTGCTTCACCTATCAACCCATTTAAGCCCCATATGCGTTAGGCTTTGTCCTAATGCTCTCCCGCCCCTTGCTCCCCACCTGTGTTGTTCCCCTCCCTGTTTCCGTGTGTTCTTATTGTTCAACTCCCACTTGTGAGTGAGAACTCTGAGACACAATTCCTTAATTGGCTTTGTAGCTGGTTAATTTAGAGAAAATTTACAGCACATAGTGGAAGGGATTGTGGGGATTACTTATCAAATACTTGATAAATAGAGCTGTTTTTTCCTTTTTATTATTGCTGTATTCCACAAAGTGTTTTTGTATTCTCAGCTCAGTTTTAAGATCTCAGGGTGGGGAAGAGGGGGAACTTTATATGTCATGACTCTTTATACTCCTAACTTTACATAGCCTTCTAAAGTATTCTAAACTTTTGCTTTGAAGTCTCTAGACCAGCTTATTACTCAAACATAGATCATACTATTATCTTACTAAAAATATCCACAGAGAAAAAGAGATATTCATTTTACCTATTTTACTTTTGTCTGTTAATTAGGAAAAAAACACTAATTTAAACCAAGATATATTATGGAGACATTAAATAAGGGAGGAAAAGATGGAGGGGGACAAGTGTTGGGAAACAACCTATTGAGTACTATGCTCACTACTTGAGTGGTGGATTCAGTTGTACTTCAAACCTTAGCATCACACAATATACCTTTGTAACACACCTGCACATGTATACTTTGTTTCTATAATAAAAGTTGAAAAAATAAAATAAGATAAAATTCATTTAAAAAGAAAAAGCTTCTCATACAAGTCAATATTTATATCCAATATATAAAATAATTTTAGAAAATAATTAACTTAATGAAAATCCATACAAGGATCAGAAAGTATGGATAATTCTATTCTCACTCTGGGCACAATATAGTCACTATCTTGCTGTCAAGCTGATTCAATCAAAGATATGTCTACAACTCCATGAAGTTCTAAAATTCCAAGATCTAGCCTTGAATGAAGAGGAAAATAGAAGTGAACAGTAAACCTATCTATGATTTTTTTTTTAATCCCCACATCTTTGGGACAAATAAACCTTATTAATATTTGAGACAAATATTGAATATATAATATAAAGAGAAATGACAGTTTCATCACTATTAAAACCATCACAAATAATTTCCTTTTTTTTTTTTTTTGTGATGGAGTTTTGCTCTTGTTGCCCAGGCTGGAGTGCAATGGTGTGATCTCGGCTCACTGCAAACTCTGCCTCCGGGGTTCAAGTGATTCTCCTGCCTCAGCCTCCCGAGTAGCAGGGACTACAGGTGTGCACCACCACACCAGGCTAATTTTGTATTTTTAGTAGAGGCAGGGTTTCTCCATGTTGGTCAGGCTGGTCTCGAACTCCCCACCTCAGGTGATACACCTGCCTCAACCTCCCAAAGTGCTGGGATTACAGGCATGAGCCACCTTGCCCAGCATTGAATTTACTATTTTTTAAATAAATAAAGTAGCTCAAAGGTCTTATAATCCAGATCCTGGGAGACTGAGAATAAGTTTCTGGTTAAAAATGCAGAAATGGCTGGGTGTGGTGGCTCACACCTGTAATCCCAGCACTTTGGGAGGCTGAGGTGGGTGGATCAGGAGGTCAGGAGAGTGAGATCATCCTGGCTAACACAGTGAAACCCGTCTCTACTAGAAATACAAAAAATTAGCCTGGCATGGTGGCACGCGCTTGTAGTCCCAGCTACTCAGGAGTCTGAGGCGGGAGAATTGCTTGAACCTGGGAGGCGGAGGTTGCAGTGAGCCAAGATTGCACAACTGCACTCCAGCCTGGGCCCTGGGTGACAGAGCAAGACTCCATCTCCAGAAAAAAAATAAAAAAATAAAAATGCAGAAATAAATACTTCAAGATAAAAGTCAATGGAAGTATACAAAAACTATTAAAAACAAATAATGCAAAGTCACATGCTTAGCTCTTAGTAAATATCATAGAAACGTGTCCAAAAAGTAACTACTTGTTGGAAAATGGCATTCAAAATTTTTAAAAAATATGAATAAATTACTGGTGCTACAAGCAGATTGAGCATTAAAGAAATGTCAAAGACCTGAAGTTTACGGTATGCATATGACAGTGACTTAAAATGAAGCTTAAGTAAGTCAGTTAAACTTGGCTTTAGTAATGCTGTAATATATTGTAGAGCTATACCACATACACATGCATGCATGTACAAAATCATGCAAAAGTGGAAAATGAAAGTAACTAATGGCAGCCAGTTTACAAATAATTAGATTGATATCATCTACAGATGATCAAGTAATTACTGCCAAATCACAATTCTAACTGTAAATCAATTAAATATAATTGCAAAGAAGTAGAACATGGAAACATCCACAGACATGCAAAGGTAAACTCAACAGACATAAAGAAATAATCCTTAGAGTGAAAGTAAAACTTAAAATGACAAAAACTGAGCAAACTTTTGTGGCTGGAGATACATTATGAATAATAATAAGTACTTGTTTTATCTGTCAAATTTTCAAAGAACTTTTAAAAGTCTCCTATCATTTGAGTCTCATAAAAACCCTAAGAGATAGGTAGGGCTGAAATCACTGTTGAATATACTTTATATATACACACTCAAACTAATTTTTAATTAACACACATAATAAAAAGCAAAATGTAAATTAAAAAAAATTTGGAAACAAATTATTAAAGGTTAAAAAAATAACATTTTACAAAACCATATTATAAGGAGAACTATAAAATGGTGGCAAAGTATAGTAGTACCATGTAGGTAGAATAAGATAAACTGGGGTTGAAATTCTGTTTCCGCTATTTACTTCCTGTGTGATCTTGGAGAAGTTACTTAACTTCTTGAACCTCAGCTATCTCATTTGCAAAACAGAGGTAATAACCATTATACTTAGCCTACTGCCTGGGACCTAGTAGTGGCCCAATAAAGGACATTGTTATTATTATCATTATTACTATTAATTGTCATCTGCTTGGCAAAGTCCTTCATCATTAAAACCCACCTCTGTGAGCCTTGTTCTGACTCATCCTTCAAGCAATCTTGTGAGCTCTTTCCGTTCCCTCCCATAAAACTCTGTTATTCCTTTATTATCAGACTTATCATTGCTCTATATTCATCAGTTGTCATGTCTGTTTTCATCACTAAGATTATGATCTCTTGAGAAGAGGTACTATATTATTCTTCATTTATATCTCTAGCACATAATACAGTGCTTAGCACATAGTAGATGCTCAACAAACATTTGTTGAAGGAAAGCAAAATAATTATTCTCAACAACTTCCAGGATGTATTTAAATGCCTTTGTGCCTTGGAATTGTATTCTGGGCTGTGGAGTGTTAAATTACAAAAATATAAGAGCATATAACAGGAAACAGTAACAGGAAACATAAATATTGAATGTGTTACGAGTATACCTAAACCTTCAGTGATTTTAAGTGTCTAGCACTTGGCCCTACACATAATTTATGCTAAACATTTTTATAGTAATAATGAAAGAGACAAATAAGAAACCCTGAAAAAGTTCCCAAAGAGGGTAAAACACCTGAGTCATACCAAGGATTCAAGAAATATTAACAGAGAAACAAAAGGAAGGCAATAGTGAGTGAGCAACTAAGAGAGAGAGAGAGAGACAGGGAGAGAGACAGAGAAAAGTTAACAAGCATTTAACTATTTGATGGAAGGAGAAATAAGCATTCCATCTATATCTGATTGGTCCTTCCTTTTCCTTCGTCAAAGGAATTTTAAGAGAAAGTAAAAGCACTTCATGAATGTGAAGAATCATCATAATTACTATTATAATTGCTATTTCATTGAAGAACAAGGTTTTGATTTGATGAAATAAAAAATGACTTTCATTTCTTATTAATTAAATACAGCAAAAATGCCATTTTAGAATAATTAAAAGTTAAGAGATGACACAGTTCAATTGTGAAAGAAAATTATTTGAATACTTATAGAAAACTTTTAAACACAAATATCTGACAAAAAGACATCAACCTCTGAATGTTTTATGTCCTCCTTGTTGAGATTCTTACAATAATGTTTGCCACAACCTAATATTATTGTTTCGTACATATCTTTAGCCTTTAGTTTTCATTTCTTTATAGGAAGCTTTCAGTGCCAAATGACCAAGAGAACCTTGCTGAGGACATCTCCAATAGGCCGGATTTTTAACTCCACATCAGCTTAGCATTTGTTTCTATATACTGTACTGTGTACTCCAGGCTGTGCAAAGAGAAGAAAGCTAAGAATCTTACTAAACAGAAACTGCATTTTAATAAATGTACAAAAGTTAAGATGATCGTTTAAAATATTCTTCAATACACAGTAAAAATCAAGTTAAGTACCTTTTGGTTATGGGGGATTAGTCCTTTTTCATGAAATGCAGAACTTCTGTTGATCACTTCTGTGTGTAATTCTGTAGATGTCC